>NC_000003.12:84858484-85161515 GCF_000001405.40 Homo sapiens | reverse complement strand
ATGTGAACCCTGAGCCCTGAAACTGTGGATTCCCTGAACTTGGAGGAATAACATGTAACTGAGCTTCATAAGTGGGGATCCCAGCCCTGCCATAGGACCTAAGAAAATGGAAGGAGCCCAGGGCGTACCTCTGGCATACAGAAACAGGAGAGAACATCTCTTCTGACCTCCTCATAGATTCTACAAAAGCACTCAATCCAGTACAATGAGTTATTTCACATCCTCACCCACCAAATTTTTCCACTGAGGTTCTCAAAAATTCTTATTCAACATAACATTTTTTTCCACAGCTCTAAAGCAAAGGTTTAAAACTTTAATAGACTAAAATTCATTTCATCAAAGCCAATCAATAAATACTGTGATATAAAATGTCTTCTCTTTTAGCTAAAGCGTTCAATATTAGAAAACAGGAAGGCACAATTTATATAATAGAATGTGACCAATAGAACAAATAGTTCATCTTATTATATTTAATGGAATGAAAACAAAAAGTAGCTTTACCAAGATGAGTATCCATCCTGGAGCTTTACAAGCTTTCTTTGCCTCTGACACAGTCTGAGTCCACAGAAAAAGAAAACTGGCTGATAAGATAGGGTGCAAGTCAAAGACTTGGTACAAATGATTCAATAATTTTTACTTTAAATTCAGGACAGAAGTAATATTTATTTCCTCTACATCCCATAAGATGGAAAACACTTCCAATTATTAAATTCCTTTGTTGGTTATATAGTTCCTCAGAGCCTTATTCCTACATGGGAAGACTAATTATTGCATAAATGTCAATTCTTTGAGAGTTAATTTATAAGATTTGTACAAGCTTAAAGAAAATAACAACTGAGTATTTTTAACTTGAAGTAATGTTTTTAAATTTGATCTCAAAGAATAAACAGAAGAAAATAGCCTAATTATTTATTGAGAAGGACCATGAATAGGAGGACTTACACAGTAGATATTTTTTTAAAAAACTCATTTTTAAAACCTACAATATGAGCAACAAATAGATAATCTTAGAGGAGACCCTACTGTAGATGTGAATGAAGGCATGTGTTTGGGACTGAGTGTGTGCATGCGTTCCTGTGCACTTTATAAACCAGTGGGAAAAGTTAAGAGCTATTTCCAATAAGAAACTGGTTTCTTTTAAGAAATCAAATTTGATCCTTACTTTATATGTACCATAATGAATTACAGAGAGATTGAAGAGTTAAATGAGGAAACTAAAATCACAACAATGGAGCTATAAGAAAAAAAATGAATAATTTTGGGTTTGGGAAGAAATTTTTAGTAACGGTTGATGTATTTGACAACAGATATAATAAAACATTGGAAATGCTGAAAACCCTCATTTAGAAAGGCATAGAAATTAAAAGTATAGGTGATATTCCATCTCAAAAATGGTAATTTAAAAAGACACAATTTTAAAGCCGTTTTAGCTACCAACCCTCTCCCCTTTATCTCTGTATGTATGTATGCACCTATTTGTATGTATATATCCAGATATGTGTGTGTTCTAATCATCATAAAACATTATTAAAAACAAACTTATATTGCTGCAAAAAATTTCAAATTATACAGCTTTCTGAAAAGGAATTTGCCAAATATGAAAAGCATGGATTTATTAATGGGTAAAACTTTTGATACAGTTATTCCAATTTTCATATGACACTTGAACTTCTCATTATTTATATAGAAATTTATATTACAAACAGTAAATGGTATGAATTATAAACAACATGAAACAGTTGATGAAACTATCCCTAAAAACTCTGTAAAATTCGTCATGGAACCAGGGAGTAAAAGAAGCAAAAATAAACCAAGCTTGTAGCACACTCAGCGTTAATCATTCGGTTAGCTTGCTCTCTGACCCACTTCCTCATAGATGTTCACCTATTGCCCTAGAATCGCTGTCACAAGATTATGGCTTTCCTTAACTGCTCTACAGATAACAACATAAGCACTACGAAAAATTTTTCCATTTAAAGTATTGTCTCATGTGAAACCACTGACACCAGTGGGTCTGAAGGATCTCAGGAGGAGCTGACTCACCAAATTATACAGTTTCCACATCCTGATGATTTTACTCCCAGTACATGGACCAGTCTACAACCCTAATTTCCTGGCCCATCACCTTCCACAATTCCCTTAAAATCCCTAGCCCAGAACTCCTGGGGAAGATGGATTTGAGGGTCTTCTCCCATCTCTCCACTCTGGACCACCATCTTTAAACTCGTTCTCTCCTGCAACCCCTGTGGTTTTGATGTATTAGTATGTTACTGCTCAGTGGGCATAACAGCTGCTAGTCCTAAAACATTAATAATACGTTCTATTTCTATGACAGAATATGATGCAATCATGTAAAATTATTTTTGAAGACTATTGATATGAAGAGACATTAATTTGCAAATGATTAAGTAAAGAAAGTATAAAATATGTTTATAGGTAGTTTGGTCATATGTACACAGATATGCTTATAGCTTTGAATATAAACTGTTTTAAAACTTATAACTTCTTCTGCTGTAAACGGAACTTTCTCAGCATTCACACACTAACACACACGCAGACGTCAACATATATATGCAACTATCTTTCTCTCTCACACACACAATAAATCACTAAAATAAATGCAGTGTTAATTTTTTTTAAATTTTTATTTTTTTATTTTATTTTATTTATTATCATTATACTTTAAGTTTTAGGGTACATGTGCACAATGTGCAAGTTAGTTACATATGTATACATCTGCCATGCTGGTGTGCTGCACCCACTAACTCGTCATCTAGCATTAGGTATATCTCCCAATGCTATCCCTCCCCACTCCCCACACCCCACAACAATCCCCAGAGTGTGATGTTTCCCTTCCTGTGTCCATGTGTTCTCATTGTTCAATTCCCACCTATGAGTCAGAATATGCAGTGTTTGTTTTTTCGTTCTTGGCGATAGTTTACTGAGAATGATGATTTCCAATTTCATCCATGTCCCTACAAAGGACATGAACTCATCATTTTTATGGCTGCATAGTATTCCATGATGTACATGTGCCACATTTTCTTAATCCAGTCTATCATTGTTGGACATTTGGGTTGGTTCCAAGTCTTTGCTATTGTGAATACTGCCGCAGTAAACATACGTGTGGATGTGTCTTTACAACAGCATGATTTATAGTCCTTTGGGTATATACCCAGTAATGGGATGGCTGGGTCAAATGGCATTTCTAGTTCTAGATCCCTGAGGAATTGCCACACTGTCTTCCACAATGGTTGAACTAGTTTACAGTCCCACCAACAGTGTAAAAGTGTTCCTATTTCTCCATATCCTCTCCAGCACCTGTTGTTTCCTGACTTTTTAATGATTGCCATTCTAACTGGTGTGAGATGGTATCTCATTGTGGTTTCGATTTGCATTTCTCTGATGGCCAGTGATGGTGAGCATTTTTTCATGTGTTTTTTGGCTGCATAAATGGCTTCTTTTGAGAAGTGTCTGTTCATGTCCTTCGCCGACTTTTTGATGGGATTGTTTGTTTTTTTCTTGTAAATTTGTTTGAGTTCATTGTAGATTCTGGATATTAGCCCTTTGTCAGATGAGTAGGTTGCAAAAATTTTCTCCCATTTTGTAGGTTGCCTGTTCACTCTGATGGTAGTTTGTTTTGCTGCGCAGAAGCTCTTTAGTTTAATTAGATCCCATTTGTCAATTTTGGCTTTTATTGCCATTGCTTTTGGTGTTTTAGACATGAAGTCCTTGCCCATGCCTATGTCCTGAATGGTAATGCCTAGGTTTTCTTCTAGGGTTTTTATGGTTTTAGGTCTAACGTTTAAGTCTTTAATCCATCTTGAATTGATTTTTGTATAAGGTGTAAGGAAGGGATCCAGTTTCAGCTTTCTACATATGGCTAGCCAGTTTTCCCAGCACCATTTATTAAATAGGGAATCCTTTACTCAATGCTTGTTTTTCTCAGGTTTGTCAAAGATCAGATAGTTGTAGATATGCGGCATTATTTCTGAGGGCTCTGTTCTGTTTCATTGATCTATATCTCTGTTTTGGTACCAGTACCATGCTGTTTTGGGTACTCTAGGCTGGTAGTATAGTTTGAAGTCAGGTAGTGTGATGCCTCCAGCTTTGTTCTTTTGGCTTAGGATTGACTTGGCGATGCGGGCTCTTTTTTGGTTCCATATGAACTTTAAAGTAGTTTTTTCCAATTCTGTGAAGAAAGGCATTGGTAGCTTGATGGGGATGGCATTGAATCTGTAAATTACTTTGGGCAGTATGGCCATTTTCACGATATTGATTCTTCCTACCCATGAGCATGGAATGTACTTCCATTTGTTTGTATCCTCTTTTATTTCCTTGAGCAGTGCTTTGTAGTTCTCCTTGAAGAGGTCCTTCACATACCTTGTAAGTTGGATTCCTAGATATTTTATTCTCTTTGAAGCAATTGTGAATGGGAGTTCACTCATGATTTGGCTCTCTGTTTGTCTGTTGTTGGTGTATAAGAATGCTTGCGATTTTTGCACATTGATTTTGTATCCTGAGACTTTGCTGAAGTTGCTTATCAGCTTAAGGAGATTTTGGGCTGAGACAATGGGGTTTTCTAGATATACAATCATGTCGTCTGCAAACAGGGACAATTTGACTTCCTCTTTTCCTAAATGAATACCTTTTATTTCCTTCTCCTGCCTAATTGCCCTGGCCAGAACTTCCAACACTATGTTGAATAGGAGTGGTGAGAGAGGGCATCCCTGTCTTGTGCCAGTTTTCAAAAGGAATGCTTCCAGTTTTTGCCCCTTCAGTATGATATTGGCTGTGGGTTTGTCATAGATAGCTCTTATTATTTTGAAATATGTCCCATCAATACCTATTTTATTGAGAGTTTTTAGCATGAAGGATGCTGCTGACCTCATAAAATGAGTTAGGGAGGTTTCCCTCTTTTTCTATTGATTCGAATAGTTTCAGAAGGAATGGTACCAGTTCCTCCTTGTACCTCTGGTAGAATTTGGCTGTGAATCCATCTGGTCCTGGACTCTTTTTGGTTGGTAAGCTATTGATTATTGCCAATAATTTCAGATCCTGTTATTGGTCTATTCAGAGATTCAACTTCTTCCTGGTTTAGTCTTGGGAGAGTGTATGTGTCGAGGAATTTATCCATTTCTTCTAGATTTTCTAGTTTATTTGTGTAGAGGTGTTTGTAGTATTCTCTGATGGTAGTTTGTATTTCTATGGGATCGGTGGTGATATCCCCTTTATCAGTTTTTATTGCGTCTATTTGATTCTTCTCTCTTTTTTTCTTTATTAGTCTTGCTAGTGGTCTATCAATTTTGTTGATCCTTTCAAAAAACCAGCTCCTGGATTCATTAATTTTTTGAAGGGCTTTTTGTGTCTCTATTTCCTTCAGTTCTGCTCTGATTTTAGTTATTTCTTGCCTTCTGCTAGCTTTTGAATGTGTTTGCTCTTGTTTTTCTAGTTCTTTTAATTGTGATGTTAGGGTGTCAATTTTGGCCAGGGCAATTAGGCAGGAGAAGGAAATTTTGGATCTTTCCTGCTTTCTCTTGTGGGCATTTAGTGCTATAAATTTCCCTCTACACACTGCTTTGAATGCGTCCCAGAGATTCTGGAATGTTGTGTCTTTGATCTCATTGGTTTCAAAGAACATCTTTATTTCTGCCTTCATTTCGTTATGTACCCAGTAGTCATTCAGGAGCAGGTTGTTCAATTACCATGTAGTTGAGCAGTTTTGAGTGAGATTCTTAATCCTGAGTTCTAGTTTGATTGCACTGTGGTCTGAGAGATAGTTTGTTATAATTTCAGTTCTTTTACATTTGCTAAGGAGAGCTTTACTTCCAACTATGTGGTCAATTTTGGAATAGGTGTGGTGTGGTGCTGAAAAAAATGTATATTCTGTTGATTTGGGGTGGAGAGTTCTGTAGATGTCTATTAGGTCCTCTTGATGCAGAGCTGAGTTCAATTCCTGGGTATCCTTGTTGACTTTCTGTCTCGTTGATCTGTCTAATGTTGACAGTGGGGTGTTAAAGTCTCCCATTATTAATGTGTGGGAGTCTAAGTTTCTTTATAGGTCACTCAGGACTTGCTTTATGAATCTGGGTGCTCCTGTATTGGGTGCATATATAGTTAGGATAGTTAGCTCTTCTTGTTGAATTGATCCCTTTACCATTATGTAATGGCCTTCTTTGTCTCTTTTGATCTTTGTTGGTTTAAAGTCTGTTTTATCAGAGACTAGGATTGCAACCCCTGCCTTTTTTTGTTTTCCATTTGCTTGGTAGATCTTCCTCCATCCTTTTATTTTGAGCCTATGTGTGTCTCTGCACGTGAGATGGGTTTCCTGAATACAGCACACTGATGGGTCTTGACTGTTTATCCAATTTGCCAGTCTGTGTCTTTTAATTGGAGCATTTAGTCCATTTACATTTAAGGTTAATATTGTTATGTGTGAATTTTATCCTGTCATTATGATGTTAGCTGGTTATTTTGCTCGTTAGTTGATGCAGTTTCTTCCTAGTCTCGATGGTCTTTACATTCTGGCATGATTTTGCAGCGGCTGGTACCGGTTGTTCCTTTCCATGTTTAGCACTTCCTTCAGGAGCTCTTTTAGGGCAGGCCGGGTGGTGACAAAATCTCTCAGCATTTGCTTGTCTGTAAAGTATTTTATTTCTCCTTCACTTATGAAGCTTAGTTTGGCTGGATATGAAATTCTGGGTTGAAAATTCTTTTCTTTAAGAATGTTGAATATTGGCCCCCACTCTCTTCTGGCTTGTAGGGTTTCTGCCAAGAGATCCGCTGTTAGTCTGATGGGCTTCCCTTTGAGGGTAACCCGACCTTTCTCTCTGGCTGCCCTTAACATTTTTTCCTTCATTTCAACTTCGGTGAATCTGACAATTATGTGTCTTGGAGTTGCTCTTCTCGAGGAGTATCTTTGTGGGGTTCTCTGTATTTCCTGAATCTGAATGTTGGCCTGCCTTGCTAGATTGGGGAAGTTCTCACGGATAATATCCTGCAGAGTGTTTTCCAACTTGGTTCCATTCTCCCCGTCACTTTCAAGTACACCAATCAGATGTAGATTTGGTCTTTTCACATAGTCCCATATTTCTTGGAGGCTTTGCTCGTTTCTTTTTATTCTTTTTTCTTTAAACTTCCCTTCTCGCTTCATTTCATTCATTTCATCTTCCATCGCTGATACCCTTTCTTCCAGTTGATCGCATGAGCTCCTGAGGCTTCTGCATTCTTCACATAGTTCTCGAGCCTTGGTTTTCAGCTCCATCAGCTCCTTTAAGCACTTCTCTATATTGGTTATTCTAGTTATACATTCTTCTAAATTTTTTAAAAAGTTTTCAACTTCTTTGCCTTTGGTTTGAATGTCCTCCCGTAGCTCGGAGTAATTTGATCATCTGAAGCCTTCTTCTCTCAGCTCATCAAAGTCATTCTCCGTCCAGCTTTATTCTGTTGCTGGTGAGGAACTGTGTTCCTTTGGAGGAGGAGAGGCGCTCTGCTTTTTAGAGTTTCCAGTTTTTCTGCTCTGTTTTTTCCCCATCTTTGTGGTTTTATCTACTTTTGGTCTTTGATGATGGTGATGTACAGATGGGTTTTTGGTGTGGATGTCCTTTCTGTTTGTTAGTTTTCCTTCTAACAGTCAGGACCCTCAGCTGCAGGTCTGTTGGAGTACCAGGCCATGTGAGGTGTCAGTCTGCCCCTGCTGGGGGGTGCCTCCCAGTTAGGCAGCTCGGGGGTCAGGGGTCAGGGACCCACTTGAGGAGGCAGTCTGCCCGTTCTCAGATCTCCAGCTGCGTGCTGGGAGAACCACTGCTCTCTTCAAAGCTGTCAGACAGGGACATTTAAGTCTGCAGAGGTTACTGCTGTCTTTTTGTTTGTCTGTGCCCTGCCCCCAGAGATGGAGCCTACAGAGGCAGGCAGGCCTCCTTGAGCTGTGGTGGGCTCCACCCAGTTGGAGCTTCCTGGCTGCTTTGTTTACCTAAGCAAGCCTGGGCAATGGCGGGCGCCCCTCCCCCAGCCTTGCTGCCGCTTTGTTGCGGTTTGATCTCAGAATGCTGTGCTAGCAATCAGTGAGACTCCGTTGGCATGGGACCCTCTGAGCCAGGTGCAGGATATAATCTCCTGGTGCGCCATTTTTTAAGACCATCAGAAAAGTGCAGTATTCGGGTGGCAGTGACCCAATTTTCCAGGTGCCATCTGCCACCCCTTTCTTTGACTAGGAAAGGGAACTCCCTGACCCCTTGCACTTCCCGAGTGAGGCAATGCCTCGCCCTGCTTCGGCTCGCGCAGGGTGCGCGCACCCACTGACCTGCGCCCACTGTCTGGCACTCCCTAGTGAGATGAACCCGGTACCTCTGATGGAAATGCAGAAATCACCCGTCTTCTGCGTCGCTCACGCTGGGAGCTGGAGACTGGAGCTGTTCCTATTTGGCCATCTTGGCTCCTCCCCCGCAGTGTTAATTTTCAAATGCAGGTAATTTTTATTCCCATCTTTACAATGTTTTTCTTCTTCATATTGCCAATTGAAAGATTTTTTTTTTACATTTTTTTTTTTTTTTGAGATGGAGTCTTGCTCTGTAGCCCAGGCTGGAGTGCAGTGGTGCCATCTCGGCTCACTGCAAGCTCCACCTCCTGGGTTCACGCCATTCTCCTGCTCAGCCTCCCGAGTAGCTGGCACTACAAGCACCCGCCACCACGCCCGGCAAATATTTTTTCTTTTTGTATTTTTAGTAGAGACGGGGTTTCACTGTGTTAGCCAGGATGGTCTCGATCTCCTGACCTCATGATCCACCCGCCTCAGACTCCCAAAGTGCTGGGATTACAGGCGTGAGCCACCGTGCCCAGCCTTACATTTTAATATAAACACTTTAGAAAGAATGTGTGACAGAAGGTCATCTAAGTAGTCACTATATGGTGAACTGAAAAACTGCGATATTAAAGACAATTTGGTGGGGTTGGGAGGAGGATATGACCCCCAACTCCACAATCAATATTAGTATTGAGAAACTAAAACATTAAAGACAAATCTGCTCTCTGAGGAATGGGATGAAGCGTTTCAAGCAAATGCAGCACAGGAAAATGAAATCGTCTCAGTCAGCACCGACACAGTAAGAAGCAGGATAAGAGAGTAGGATGATGGGTCCACATGGAGATTTCCATAACTACAGTCTCTTTTGGCCACACATCCTTGTAACGAAGGCACCTACTGGCCCAGTACACTCACCCACATACAGAGGCACAGTCAACAGTCAAATGTAGTTAAGGATATGAATATTAGATCTGAAAGTAAACCAACTTTACAGAGTATTATATAGAGTAGTATTAAATTATATGAAATATGTTTACACTGACTGGTAGGAAAAAGCTGAAAAGTGAAGTAATAATACAGAAAATGGTCCCTGGGTAGTCTCTCTTTAGGAGAAGAGAGAAAATAAGAAATGAGACAGAAATCACTTGAAGTTCGTGATATATAGAAATTTGGATTGTTAAGAATTTGATAAATACTGAAACTATCATCAATTGATATTTGAAATAAAAAAATAACCTTTTTTCTTAAAGTTTGTGATATTCAATGATCTAAAAGCTCTTTAATATACTCTACTCATTGATCATAATATTAATAAGGCATTGCTTTAAGCAAATTTTAAGTTCTATAATGATTTGTTCAAGTCAATCTACCTTTACTTATAAATCTGCTGTGAAGAACAGCAAGAAGCCAGCTATGAACCAGGAAATTGACTCTCACCTGACTCAATCTACCTTTGACCTCACCTTGAATTTTCAAACCTCCCAAACTATAACAAATGAATGTATTGTTATTTACAAACCACCCACTGGATGATATTTTGTTATAACACCTTGAACTGATTAAAGCAACCATAAAAAATTATGAGGGAGCCATCATAACTTGGATTTTTAGAATGAAGATAAGAAGTTGATTTTTGAAGGTTGATTTTAATCGGCTGCTCTAAGGCAATATATTGAGATCAGTGCCTTTGTTTGGCAGCATAAACTATAAGACTGTTAGCATTTGAAAGAAAGTGTATTTATGTTCTATTCTGGACTGAAATAATGAAGGGCTCCTAACTATAATAAAGTTTTAAAATTTCCAATAGTGATAATTCTAGGAGTAAGAAAAAGGACAAAACTAGCAGAAAAAGGCCATCTCAAGTAAGTAAAAGCAGAAGTGAAAAAAAAAAGTACACAATCATTCAGAAGGGTGCTTTTAAGAGGAAGAGTTTCTCAGTAGAACGGAAAGGCTAGGAATATAGTAAAGAAAAGCCCAAAACTGAACAAGTTATGAGGAGAATTTGTATAAAATTAACTGAGCAGTCTCTATAGCACTCCCAAAATCAAAGGCAACATTGATCATGGAGACTAGGCTCAGGCCAGGCGTAGAATTTCTTACCCATACCCATTTGTTCTTTCTTACATCCCTGTGTCCCCATCTACCATTGCTCTGCTCACAGAACTTGGAAGAAAATTCCAAAATTCAAGCCTCAATAAACAAAGGAAAATCTTGTCTTTTCATCTAATTGCATTCTATAAAGGTTCTTTGCCATCCAATTATTATTATTATTATTATTATTATTATTATTTATTTTTATTTTTTTGAAACAGCGTCTCGCATTGTCGCCCGGGCTGGAGTGCAATGGTGCGATATCAGCTCACTGCAACCTCTGCCTCTTGGGTTGAAGACATTCTCCTGCCTCAGTTGCCCAAGTAGCTGGGATTACAGGCACCTGCCACCATACCTGGCTAATTTTTTTTTCCTTTTTTTTTTAGTAGAGACGGTTTCACTATGTTGGCCAGGCTGCTCTTGAACTCCTGACCTTGTGATCCACCCACCTCAGCCTCCCAAAGTGCTGAGATTATAGGCGTGAGCCACAATGCCCAGCCCCAAATGACTTTCTTAATGGATTGAATTTCAGCAAATAAACAAATTTAAAATGCTAACTCAGGAAACTGGTAGGGTCATTTTCTCTTATTGCAATTGTATGCTAACTACTTCATAACTTAATAAAGAATTTGGTCTTCATTGGAAAAAAAATTTCTGACAGCTCAAGAAAAACTACTGGAGAAATGTAAATGACTGTTTTATTGCCAATACATAAATTTTAAATGTATTTTAAAAGTACAGTTGTTTCTGTCTCTGAGAGTTCAGCAGTGTCTTTTGTACACCATCTGCCAGAAGCAGAAAGACCATACACTCTGGAATTCCTCCTCTGACTGTCCTTTATTCTTAGAAAAAGCCCCTTATGAAAACCCCTTTAGAACTCCAGGGTCACTACTTATTACAGTAAATACAGACAAAAAGGTCTTGTCATCCTCTAAAACCTTTCAGCTTCTGAAAGCTAAAATTTAATTCCCTGTGCAAATTCAAATATAACTCTCAAATAGAACAGCTTCTCTATGTAGTTGATAGGATTATGACAAAAGGGTAGAAGAACTGATTTTCAACTGAAGTGAGAAATTAAGTTAACCTTAACCTTCACTCGGATATACACGCTGGTGTACCAGAAAAGACCATGTAGCTTCTTTCTAGTTATCAGAAAATTCAACCTACCAATATCCATTGTTAAGAGACTGTGAAAATAGAGGGAAATACTGTGTGTTTGAGAGAATTGTGATTCTAGGATATAGTGGATACAAGAGTTGATTTGTTATTTTCACAGATTCAGATTATTGTAAATAATTTTATGCAGACGATTTGAACTAGTTGTGTTAAATGGAAGCTTTTAAAAATAAAATAAAACGTGTCTATAACGCTACAATTTATTAATATTTTTTTCTTTGAGACGGAGTCTCGCTCTGTTGCCCAGGCTGGAGTGCAGTGGCAGGATCTCGGCTCACTGCAAGCTCCACCACGCCTTTCTCCTGCCTCAGTCTCCAGAGTAACTGGGACTACAGGCACCTGCCACCATGCCTGGCTAATTTTTTATTTTTATTTTTTATTTTTAGTAGAGACGGGGTTTCACCCTGTTAGCCAGGATGGTCTCGATCTCCAGACCTCATGATCCGCCTGCCTCAGCCTCCCAAAGTGCTGGGATTACAGGTGTGAGCAACCGTGCCCGGCTCAATTTATTAATTTGTATATGTCTTTGCTTTAGTCCATTTTTGCTGCTATAAAAGCATACCTAAGACTGGGTAATTTATAATGAACTGAAGAGTATTGGCTCACAATTCTGGAGGCTGGGAAGTCTAAGGTTTGAGGGGCCAGCATCTGACAAGGTCCTTCTTGCTGTGTTCATACCATGGCCTAATCACCTCTTAAAAGTCTCACCTCTTAATACTGGCACAATGGCAATTAAATTTCACCATGAGTTTGGAGAGGATAAACAGTCAAACCATGGCAACCTTATTTAAAAAGATAATATTGGGGGAAAATATTTTTCTAATTATTGATTTTTTTAAAAAAAAAAGCACTAACCATAAAAATGATGTTTGACTATATTAAAATTAAAAATTTATCTTTATCACAAGGACTCATAAAGAAATTTAAAAGACAGTCACGTATTGGGAGAAAATACATTTGTCTCTTGAACAACAACATGGGTTTGAACTGCACGTGTCCACTTACATGCAGACTTTCTTCTGCCTCTACCACCCCTGAGACAGCAAGACCAACCCCTCCTCTTTCTCCTCCTCCTCAGCCTACTCAACATAAAGTCGACAAGGATAAATATATTTAGTATCAGCTTATACTTAATGAATAGTAAATATACTTTCTCTTCCTTATATTCTTAAGAACATTTTCTTTTATCTAGCTTATTTTATTGTGAGAATACATTATATAATACATATACAACCAACTGTTTATGTTATTAATAAGGCTTCAAATCAACAGTAGGCTATTACTAGTTAAGCTTTGGGTGAGTCAAAAGTTATACAGAGATTTTTGATAGCTTGGGAGAATGGTGCATTGTTTGAGGGTCAAATGCACTTGTCACACAAGTTGTTTTGTGAGAGTTCTTTAACATTCAGGATACTATAAATTTTTCAGTTATATATGATGTAAAAAACTAAAAGATATTTTAAATTATTAGAGATTTGTGTCCAACAATTCTAATTTCTGTCTGCCACATGAGCATAATGTAGTATACAGAAAATTACACATAAGGTAACTGGAAAGATTTTTTAATTTGTTTATCTGTAATTTTCATTACTCCTAGTGTAGGCAGTGTGCTGCCCCTCATCTCAAGTAGTTGCTAAAGGAGGAAGTTGCCCTGTTACTGCTGCAGCTGTTCCTTTTTTAGCAGCCTAGGAAGCTCTGCTATTGAGTCGGACTTAGCTTTGGATTTGGAGAGGGCTCAGCTGCCCGTACAGCTGAGAGAATCAACTCATGTTGACCTCATTTTAGGATAATGCCTTTTTCAACCTGACATGTCTGTTTACACGCTGTGATATTCATTAAATGACCTGCCTAGATAAGGTTGGGTCAACATTGTGCCTAATAAAATTGTGAGTACTACAATATCTGACTTACAAAGTTTATAACTTCTAAGTGTGATCATTGCTCCAACAACAGCAACTTGGTGTGATTATATATTTCTAAAATAATTTCCAAGTTATATGAATTAATAACGGTACTATTCTACAACTACATACATATTATAATTTGTACTTTATAATTAGTAATTAATATTTTAAATGTTAACAAAACATTTCTAAATTTTAAATTTCTGGTTCCTCCTTTTTAAATCTCCTGTTATATACTTATACCTTGGTGCTAAGTAGATGAATGGAAATAGCATAAATTGATCAACATAAATAAAATTCTTAATCTTTTAACATCCTGAACAAATTTATAGATAGATATTAATTCTTTATTGTGCAATACTAAATTGATCTACATTATTATCTCACTTTAGTAAATGAATACATATCTATGAAGACTATGAACGGTTCAGAAATTGCATGATTAAGAAAATTGTCAGCATAAAGAAAAGAAAACCAATATGGATAAATCAATAGCATTACATTATTAATGTTATTAATTATTATGGCAATACTGATAATGCCTAACACTCTGCAGTTTACCAAGGGTAATCACATATATTATTTGATTAAGAGTACAGTTTAACTCCCAAGATACTAATCCAGCAGTTTCTCAAAAAATACCTCACTTTTGTTCTTCCATTTCAAGCCATGTTTGTCACTGCCTAAACAATCTGGTCATCCCCTAAGGAAATTTCCTACTTCTTACTCATGTTGTCTTTTTTTTTTTTTTTTTTTTTTTTTTTTTTGAGACAGAGTCTGGCTCTGTCGCCCAGGCTTGGAGTGCTGTGGCACAATCTCAGCTCACCGCAAGCTCCGCCTCCCGGGTTCTCGCCTTTCTCCTGCCTCAGCCTCCTGAGTAGCTGGGACTACAGGCGCCCGCCACCATGCCCGGCTAATTTTCTTGTATTTTTAGTAGAGACGAGGTTTCACCGTGTTAGCCAGGATGGTCTTGACCTCCTGACCTCAGGTGATCCGCCCGTGTCGGCCTCCCAAAGTGCTGGGGTTACAGGCGTGAGCCACTGCGCCCGGCCTTACTCATGTAGTATTTCATCTAGTTCTTTCCTTTTTTTTTCCCCCCTTAATCCACTATCGTATTCAAACCCTATCCCTTCCTTTTCAAATGTCTTCATATGTCCCATACTTGCAGGATCGCATTTAAGAAATAACTCAAAAATCAAACCCATGCAAATGTAAAGTTTGAAATGTCACACGATACAATTATTCTCAATCTTCAATGAAATAATGCATTAAATTCACTTATTTATACTGTATGTTTCTCTGAGACAGAAAATCCCACATAGGCTGTCTCTACAAGCATGCATCCACAAAAGTGATATTTGGAAACTTAAAAATTTATGTCTTGGCTCTATTTATATAGTTTATTTGAAAGTAAATAAAATTCCAAATACATTCAAACATGTGACAACAGAGTAATTACTATTGATATAAATCAATGATTACTTTCATGAAGAATATTCAACATTAGTTATTCTTGAAATAACTTTTAAAATGTAATTATCATGATACGTGAATAAATCCAAAAGAAAGTTTATAGATCTAAGATACCATTAAAGAATGATTTGCTTGTATTTGTCGCTTCTACCTGCTTTCATTTGCCACTGCATAAAAAAAAAGAGACCTCATTAAAAATCTAAGAAGGAATGATGATGCTTTAATGAGACATTCATCAACAAGAGTCACCACAAAAAAGTGTTAATTTATACCCTAATACAAAGCACAGATATACCATAATACAATTACTATTAATATTATAAAAGGCCATCAAGATCATTATTTGGTTATTTGGGTGTTGTTAAAATGTAAAAATCCATTGATGCCAAGTCTAGTTATTAGCAGAGTACAAGCAAGACACTGGTCTAAATGTTTACAGATATTAACTCGCAGCAATCCTAAGGGATATAAACATTAATCTCATTTGTCAGACAGAAAACCAAGGCACAGAGTGGTTAAAAATATTCCTTAAAGTCATACAGCTACTAAGTAACAAAGCTGGAATTTCAAACGCAAAGAATTTGTCTTTATTGTCTCTCCTTAACCTTTTATGCCAAACTGGAAGAACTTTCTTTTATTTAATATTTCTCCAAATTATAGCACAAAGATTCTACCATTGCCGTGTTAACATCAAACTTAATGGATCAGGTGGATCATGGGGAAATAACTTATATGTTCCATGTAAATTAAATGTATCCAAAAGGCCACATATTTTGAAAAGTCCTATTTTTAAATGTATACAAATATTAGCAAATGATACTATTTACTATAAATGAAATTAATCACCCCAAAATCAATTTAAATTATACCATTCCATTACTTCTATTTGTCCACATTATTGAGCATGACAGGGATGATTCTTTTGCCTGCCAAACTAAGGGTGATAGACACCACTACATAAAATATTTATGGTCCCTGGACTTTATTTGATTATATCACCTACCTTACAGTTTTTCAAAAGTTATGATAATCCTGAAAAGCCAGTGTGTTTTAAAATGCCCCTATTCTTCACCAAAAAAAAAAAATTGCAAATAATATAAGACTGTGATTTAGTTCTACACAGGGACACCAGGAGACAGAAAATACTGTGGGAAAAAAAGTCATCCTTATTTGAAACATAGAAAACCTAATATAGATAGGCAGACAGATTGGATGGATAGATGGAATTAGACTATGTTGCTTAATCTGTGCATGGCATTGTTGTAAAATCTTTACAAAAATTCAACCACTGTTTTCAAAACAAGCACTATTCAAGCAAGTGAAGTAACAAAATAAATGTGGTCATTTTAGTGTGATTTTCTTCCCCACAGTAGGTGAACAAATAAATATTTGTTGAATTAAATTGAATTAAACCTTTAAAAACATAGGATGTGTTAAAGCAATGCCTCTCAAATATTTCCAAAAAATTTTCCTTAGCATAGAACAGTAAAACATTCTAGAAGAATTGGAAATTGGTCTCCAGTGGCCCATTTTCAATGCAATCTCATATCTTTGAGTTAAACTGACTGTTTAGAAAGAGGTACAAAGTGTATTCTAAGGTTTGGCATACATCTGACACTTCACTTTGCACACACCTATCTTGTATTGATAAATTTCACTAAGAGTAGTTAAAAGACTTGCTCTCCATTTATGATTTGATGTATTTATGTCTTTCAAAAACATTGTGATTATATTTATCTATCTTGTAATTTTTACCAGTAATTATGATGTCTGAAATTGATCTTTCAAATCACTTAAAATACAAATTATTGAATCAAATTAAAAAAATATCTTGAACTCCTTTTCAAGCAAAACCAATACTCAAGAATAAATATTAACATTTGCCAAGTCTTATTCCATGCATTGAGTATCTGACAAATCTTGTTCTTTCTTTCTTTCTTTCTTTCTTTTTTTTTTTTGAGATGGAGTCTCACTCTGTCACCCAGGCAGGAGTGCAGTGGTGCGATCTTGGCTCACTGCAACCTCCACCTCCTGGGTTCAAGCAATTCTCCTGCCTCAGCCTCCTGAATATCTGGAATTACAGGCATATGCCACCAAGACCAGCTAATTTTTGTATTTTCAGTAGACTCAGGGTTTCATCACGTTGGCCAGGGCTGGTCACGAACCCTTGATCTCAAGTGATCTGCCCGCCTCGGTCTCCCAAAATGCTGAGATTACAGGAGTGAGCCATCGCGCCCAGCACAAATCTTGTTCTTATGATGTTTATATTTTAAAGACACGAGAAAGATTGTGTGCACATGTGTGTGTGTGTGTGTGTGTGTGTGCGTGTGTAACAAAATACTTTAGATGGTGATAAGTTTCATAGAAAATAAAGCTGGTAAGCAGGGTAGGTAATGTAATAGTGGGTCAGGAGTATGGTCTGGAAATAGTTAACAGAGTCTGTAGTTTTGAGTAAGAGCCTACAACGTTTTTGGTGCAGTAGAAATCCAAATGGGAAAGAGAATATCTAAGGAACAAACAGTGCAAAGTACTTCAGGGAGAGATGCCTGAGCTGTGTTCCTGGCCCAGCAAAGAGGCCAATGTGACTTGAGCAGAGAGCTGGTAGGAGTATAACTGAAGATGAATTCAGAAATAGCCAGACTGTGTATATCCTCAAGGACCACTCAAAGGACTTTGGTTTTCTTTGAGTGAAATGAGAACCTCTGGAAAACTTGAGCCATGGAACGGCATGCTATGAATATGCAATCAGAAATATTCTGGCTACAGTGTTGAAAATAAACTGAAGGGAGCCAAGAATAGAAATAGGGGGGCCAGTGATGAAGCTAGGGTAATACCCCAGGATAAAGAAGATGAGAATTTACTTTTTTAGACCATGGAGTTAGAAGGTGTAAGTAGGCCCTTAAATTTATCTTGAAATAGAAATGATACTTTGGATATTGATTTCTTTAAAGCTATGTTCTTATCATTCACACAAGTTATTTGTAGCATACAATTAACAAAAACAATGCATTTTGGTAATTAGGTGAAAAGGTCGTTGAAAAATCTGTCTCAAATATATACTGATTTTCACAATCATATTAATTATTTTTTGAGACAGGATCTTGTTCTGTTGCCCACGTTGGAGAGCAGTAACAGAATCATGGCTCACTGTTAGCCTTGACTCAAGTGATGTTCCCACCTCAACCTCCCACGTAGTTGGGACTGCAAGTGTGTGACACGATGCCTGATTAATTTTTTCTTTTTATTTTTTGTAGAAGCAGGGACTCACTATGTTGCACAGGCTAGTCTCAAACTCCTGGGCTCAAGCAATCCTTCTGTCTTGGCCCCCGAAAGTGCTAAGATTACAGGCATGAGCCACCACACTCAGTCACACAATAAAATTATTCCAAATTTTGTTTAATCCCTCTTCAAAATCATTTTATAATACTAAATACTTTTTAAAAAGTTTTCTTAGTATGTAAGTTGTCATCTCTTGCCTGTTTGTATACTTTTGATTTGCTTACCATTAATTAATAATTCTTGACATATTTGGAATTTTTTCTCTAAGATAATTTATAATAAATTTGCTAAGAAAATTTGCAATATATCTTCACATATTTTATAAAATGGGATAATAAGGCAAATTGGAAAAATAATTACTTTCCAAACACACAAAATACAATCTTTGCCTTTACACTTCAGTGAATCCCACTAACTGGTGGACAATCTGTTCATTAGGGTCATCGTCCTGATTTATATTGGCTCTGAGAGACTGTGCGGGAATTCTCATGGCTGGTTAATATGGCTGAAATTAACAGATTGACTCTGCCATGCCCTATTCATTTTCCATGAAGAGATTCAGTTAAAAGGTTCGTAGCTTATGATTCTTCATTTTACAAGGATGAGAGGTAGATCATCACCTAAATTTGTTGCAATTTATCCTCACTTTAACTCATTGGGAATAATTAGTTCATTTTCTTCTTCATAATGCTGTAAGTCTATAACCACTTAAACTATTTCAATAAAAATAATCCAAAAATATCCGTTGCAATTATACACATATTGTAAGCAATGAGGATGGAGGAAAGGCTTCCCATATGCATTCACAGTGCTAAGTGGCTCTCTGCCAGCACCAAATCCTTTTGGATAATTTCAATTTTTCATTCATATTCTCATATCACTGAACCTAAAGCATGCTTAGTAAAGCAATCTGAACATTTTTAAAATTCTATGTTCAAATCAAGATATGACGTATTTTAACTGATCCATGGTATATATTAATTTGATTAGAAAACTATAGCTACAGGCTGGTGGTTAGGCAGCTAAGACCACAGTGCAAGAGAGAAGATAAGCTTATTTCCAATGTGAGACCATGAGGGCTGTTTGGCAAAAATTCTTCTTCTGACAAAAATAGAATTGTTTTATGTTGTTGCAGAAGTTGGTGCCATTACATTTAATGGTAAAAACCGCAATTACTTCTGCACCAATCTAATACTACCTTTCTCACTTTGAAGTGAGGTGTAACTATGTGATTTCCTTTGGCTAATAAATGTGGATAAACTGATGTGGGTTCTTTTTGTCAGTTTTGAAACCACACATGGTGAAGTGTCATTAGCTTGGATTCCTGAATGATTAATATAAACACAATTCTTTTCCAACCCATATTAGACAATCTAGCTTGAGCAACAAATAAATCTCCATTGGGTTAAGTCACTGAGATCTTGGGGTGCACACAGCAAGTGATCTTATCATCTAATAAATGAAGCAGGTGGTAAAAGACTAGAAGTAGTTATACTGAGATGTGAAAACGTGCTAAATTGCCCCAAATAGGAGACTGAAGTCAATGAGAGTTCCGGATAATTGTGGGTTTTATCTGATGGAATTTATACTATTTCCATTAACATATATCCTATCTATATTCATAAAAAATGCCAGAATTAAAAAGGATTGGATCTCTGTTACAACTTCCTTAAATATTTATATATAAAAACATATTGTTACATATTGTTATGTTTGACACATGATATATAATAGGGTTTACCCTTGAGAATCAAGTAAGAAGTTTTGGTCAAAGTATATCAGTAGTTTTTAGAAGCATCTTTTTCCATGAATAGCATCAATAAAACCACTACTATCACTACTACTCCTCAAATATCTCCTACAGAATAAACGTTTTTACAATGTTTCCCATATGCCACACCCTGTTTAAGCACTTTACATGTGTTAAGTATTTAATCCTCAAATTTGTATCCCATCAGGAGGGTACTGCTGTCATCCCAATTTAAAAGATTAAGAAATTGAGGCATAAACAGTTTAAGTAATTTGCCCAAGATTATTCAGGCAGTCACTGGTACAACTAAGATTTAAACCCAGGTATTCTGGCTCCAGAGTCTGTGTTTTTGAAAACTGTAATGCTTCTCACCAATGATTGGCCATTAATTTCCTTTAGTGTATTACATAAAATAACTGGCTCTCATATGAAATCCAGGGTTTTGCAGAATATGAAGCCTCACAGAAGAAAATGACATACTGAATGCTACTAATACATATATTTAGTCTCTGACTAAATTTACCTTCATTGTCAAAAAATCATAGATGAAGGAAGATTAGACATCATAGGTTTTGTGTAGGTTGGTTTCAGCAGGAACCAGTGTACTCTCAAGACACAAGTCTCTGGGTTCCCCACCCTAAGGAGGAGAACAGCTAATTTAGATAACCAAAGTCTATAATCAGCTAATTAAAAGCAAGTCTGCAAATCCTGCCAAGTTAAAGACAAGCTGTGATATTCTGGCATGCAGCTGAGAAGCACCAGCCATTTTAAAAGGACATATGACCCAGAGAAACTGTCTGGACCTAAGTCTACATGTTACCTGTCAAATGACTTTCCATTCACGGGATGTGTGAATTTCAGCAAGTTACTTAACCTCTTAAGCCACCAAAACCTGATCTTCAAACTCAACACAATAATGCAAGCTCAGGATCAATGTGGAATTAAGTGAGATAATGTTGGCAAGGCACTTGGAACATTTCCAGGCATGTTAATAGATATGGGAGGATTTACAAGGACAGAGTTAAAAAGGTATTTGAGAATCTAGCTGTGTTTTAAATATTTATTCTAAGATATACTACCAATGTACATGTTTAGATCAAGTCATACGAGTTATTTACCTGTCCATTTCCACTTTCCTTATAATGTTCTTACCTTTTTTTGACCTACTCAATGCACAATAAAGAAACCACATTTACCCCACCCTTCGAAACTTCCTACAGAAAAATGTATCATTTGTTAAGAAAGAATTTAATTTATGTAAACTGGTATTAAATTACTAACTATAAATTTTCTGGATAAGGATAACTGCACTTAAAATGCTGCATAAAAATATATAGTAACTGTACGTGATCCAAGAGAACCCGGTAGAGTGGGAGGCTTTTGAAAATATAGGTTGCTTTCTGATGACTGAGCCCATCTTTTAACCTGATGGCTTTCCAGCTCCCGAATCTTAGCTACAAGCCTGGTTTATAGCATATCATCATTAGGCAATTATATCTGCTAACAGCCTTCCCTATCCACTGGTCTTTAACTCCAGCCTGAAACTGAACGTGTTATCTGTTCTGTACAACCTCATCTCACTGTCTTCTCTCTTTTCTGAATAACTCACCACCCATTACTTCCTACATCCTTCCCTTCACTCCACAGGCAAGATGCTTCTGCCTTCTCATAAGGTAATTTATCCTTGAAAAAACCCTTATAAGTAGTAAATGTAATTAC
Source organism: Homo sapiens (assembly GCF_000001405.40). Taxonomy (NCBI): domain Eukaryota; kingdom Metazoa; phylum Chordata; class Mammalia; order Primates; family Hominidae; genus Homo; species Homo sapiens. The sequence continues at coordinate 85,139,821 of NC_000003.12, read as the reverse complement.
CTCTCATTTCAGAGGGAATATTGAGCCCCCAAATTGTGTTATTTATATTAAAATTGCCAAATCCCATAAAAATGGACACAATTCTTCATTAGTTAACATCAGATATCATAGCCCAACTTACATTTTTAACTTCATTGACTATTCTATTACATGGCTTTTTTTCATATTTTCCTTAAGCTTCTTTGCACAGTAACCTATAGTTCTTATAAATAAAATCTACATAGAATAAGTATATATAATTCTATATGCATGCAAAGAAAAACACATAGTATTAAAGGCAAAATAAATCAATAAAATACTATCAACTGTATAAGCTGGTAAAATACAAACTCTCTGAAATAAGAAGTTAGCATAGCCAACTAGATAATGCAATTACAAACAAATAAGTATTGATTAATGTAAAAGAACAACTCAAAAGCTGAAATATGACATTTAGTTCAAACTTCTCACAAACTTGAATTATTTTGTCTCAAATGATATTTTGGGGGATATAATTGAATAGTTCAAAAGAATTCCAAAAATCATGATATCTTGGCTCACTTGAAAAAAACAGATTTGTGTTTGTGTTTCTGTGTGTATTGACATTATTGAAACGCATATACACAGTTAGTCACTTCATGCATTGCTCCTTCTCAAGGATGTTCCTAATCTACTAGAGAACAAAATTTCTAAAAGACCAATAGGAACAGAAAGATTAGCGGCAGGGTTGAGTCTGTGTCTTGTGCTTGACCCTTGTATACAGCCACACAGATAACTGCCCAACCTGCACTCACCGATGCCAGTAGCAGATGTGGCACTTTTCCTTGCAATGAGCTGAACACATAGAACTCAAATGTGCTGTGTTACTTCCACTGTTTCTACCATTTTTCAACTTCCCCTTTATCTTCCTAAATGCAGATTAAGGAAATCACACCTAGCTGGCCTTTAGAATCATAAAATACTATACTTCATCCTTGTTTTCTCATACTTTTACTGTAAAAGCAACTGAAGCCAATGAAATGTGAACGTGTTGGGCAAAATGACACTGCTAGAGTAAATTCTGCAACCTGAATATTCACTCACATTGTGCTGTCTCCTCCAGGATGGTGGCATTAACATGAAGAATATCATACCCTTATGGAGACAAAAGAGTTTTTGATGTTCACCATTTATTTTTCAAACATAGCATTTGCCAACTAATGACACCCCAATTTTTTGTTTTTATGTTGAAAATACTAGTATAGTATAATATGGCAATAACTACAAATATAAATTGCATCCTACATCATAATAACCATTAAAAATTAGCAAGAAAAATACCTTCTTAGATATTAAAATTGTATTTTACTTTATATCTTTGCCCAATATTAGATTGGTTCTAAATATCTAAGTCTGAATGCCCAACTGGTTTTGAAAAATAAAGTGCAATCTACTAATATCATAAACAGAAAAACCTCTGAAGAAAGCCTCAAGAGACTCACTGAGTCTCTTGTATTTTCTCACCTCTTTGAGGGTACAATCTCATTTCCAATGGCAGCACCTTTCCCATTCTTGAGAAAAGTGTCTGTAACCCATCACTAGAAAAACATACTAAGTATAAAAAGGTATCCCATGACACTGCAGATAAAGTGTATTGTTGCAGATTTCTCTGCTGGGGAAAGAATGCAACAAAGGAAAGAACAGCTGAAAATAATGGCATGACTCACTGAAGAATTCTGACTCTACCTGCTGAATTGCCAGTAACCAAAATCGACTCTGTCCTATGAACTATAAAAATAATTGTATCTTGTTTTTTTCTGATTAGGTTGAAAGAGGTCAACATAGAAAGCATTACATCTATTTCAATCTATTTCTATGAATGTACATTTATATGAAAGAAAGAAAAACCTCTCAGATATATCTATTGAGATTAAGGATATTAATAATTCTATATTTGAATGTTCTATAACATATATTTAAAAGTTTTATACATAATATATTCCAAATATTCAGAAACGTTATTTTGTCATTGTGTATGATTCAGCCAAAATATTCTTGATGTTTTAAAGCCATATCAAATGCTTACAGGTCTAAAATTAGGATAAGCTTTAATACAACTGCCTCAAAATCAAACAGTAAAATTATTTCTGTTACTAAATTACTGTCGTGCATTTAAACACGGCTTCCTAAACTTAGAAAATCTAACTCATTTTAAAGTGCTTTGGTAAAAACACTGGAAACTCAGAAAGTTGTGAAAATTAGTATTTATATTCTGATATAATCTAAATATGAGGGGTTTATACTAAATCACCAAGATGTAGAGTAAATATTTGTAAAATCTATCCAAACCCCAGAAAACTGCAAAGTCAAAATTTGTTTTAGATTATAAAACTATATAAACCATCTGAATATTTAGGGAAATACGTTGTGTTGTTATTTGTAATAAAAATAACAGCATAAGTATTTATGCTTTTTTTCACTAAGTACATTCTGCTAAACCACCACGGACCTGCAAAAATAATATTTTTGACAGCAATAAAAGTAAAAGTCCTGGGATTGTAAAAAGACACAAAGTCTTATAAAATAAAGTTTCTTTATAACTGTTAGATTTAAAAATAACTAAATTTTCTCAGTTTTAGAAATTAAGAAATATCAATTGTTCATTTCTTTGAGCATATAGATGAAATGAAATCCACTTCATTGATTTAATTGATGTCTTAATGATGTGGCTTACCCTCAGGAAAATAGAATCAAAACAATTCCAAAGATATCCTGGGTAGATGATTAATTATTTATGCTTTTGTATTATGATACCCCAATATAATCCACAGTTGGATTTTTGAAGGAAAAATATCTTTATATTTTTACGTAATTGTTCTTGGTACTTCGTTGTGTGAAATATCTTATTTGCATATTTTTAAATATAAAAATGCAGCCTATGACAATGACATCTTCAAGTTGCTACAATGCAAACTGAATCTAATGATTTACACAATTACAAAATGTCAAAAGGTAGTATGTTTAAAATGCATATTTTATTCCTATAAAGTTGTACTTAAAATAGAGTGGGTTCAGAATGTAGTAAGCTTGCTTACATATGAAATAGCTGTTTGGAGGTAGTCATTAAAAATGCATTAATTAATTGACTTATTTTCTTGAAGTTCTTTGCATTCTTAAGTAACTTGCTTAAGAAATGTTTTAACTTGCAGTTAGATTGTAAAGTGAAATATATCCAAATCTAAACCATTGGGTCTAATTTATTTTTTAAGGCAAAATCATAATGTATGTGAATAGTCTAGAAAATAGATAAATTATGTATTCATTGATTTTGGAAGCACTGTTTTAAATTTAGAAATATTTTAATATGTGTTTGTATGTCAAAGTAAAACATATTGAACATGTTGTTCAGAATATAGCTAACATATTATTCAAAAATACAATCTTCTGTTTCTAAACTTTTTCAACACCATGTAACAGGTGGAATGGATAGAGAGAAAGTGAAGTTACACACACACACACACACACACATTACTCAGTACCTAATTGCTACTAGATTATCAGGAAATAAATAAAAGCTACATTTAGGAGGGTGAATTCCACTATCAGCTTCTTATTACCACTCACAGCTTTTCCTAGTTATTTATTTTATTCTTCCTTTAGAACTCCAATTTCCTCAAAATGAAGCTACATGCCTTTAACTAAACATGAAAAGTGATGATGAGGGAAATCGAAATAGTGTAAAACAACATTTCAGTCACTGTCAACCCTCTTTCTGCCTACTTCTAGAAGTCTGTTATCCAAATGTACAGACAACGATACTTGAAACCATTTTCACAATAAAACACACCAATAGATAAATGACACCTACATATTCAAGCGAGATTTGTAGATTGCTATAAATCTCTAGGGTCTCTACTCTTTACTTGATGAGAATATAAATTTAAAAATTAGTTAACAATTCTTGATCATGGCACTTAATTTTAAACAGAAGTAAGTGCTTTGAACTCAGAGAGCTAAATTCAATACTACGGCTCTCTAATAGATATTTGTTCACTACTGATGAAAGTATAAAAAACACAACTGGATGTATAAATTAAAAGTTTTACAAAATGTTTGTGTATTGAAATAATGCTTCTACAGCAATATTTGAATACTATAATATTTACAACTGATTAATTGCCAATCACATTCTGTGTTTTGAGGAGGCAGCTATTAGAATGCTGAAAAACTCATGTACTGAATCTGGCCACTTAAACTTATTGAGGCTAATTTTTCACACCTGTAAAGCAGTGATGGTATTCTGATTTCTGTAATTTCTGATTACAATGATGAGTACTATATGTGCTTTTGATTGTGAATAGAAATTTAAATTCTACAGCATTATACATTTACAAGATAGTAATATTTTAACATGACTACATTTATGTTTACATTACAAAATTATATTGTGCCAATAGAAAAGCAAACCGAAGTACCCCTCATTATATAACAGCATAATTATATATTACTACAATAATATGTTAGAGAGGGAGTAAGTTCTAGAGAATTTTGAATTTATGATTGTGGTCATGTCCAAAGGTTTACATTACCAGTGATAGAATATTCTGAAAAAAGAATTTTCTAATGTTACAATATATTTAAAATATGACTATTTTTTGCTTTGTAAAATGATTTTAATTTTCACACCAAATGTTTTTGTTTGCTTATATCAAAGAAATGCAACTAATATATTATAATCTCTGATTTTCAAACCATTGTTTTGCATTTTATATACACATTTATATTTACTTATGAATAAAAATAATTTTTATCAGAGACATTGCTTTTTTTGTTAAAAATTACACAAATTAATAAAAATACTTATTATGAATTACATTAACTTATAACAAGTATAATCCATTCCATGTTATTCAAATAGTATTACTTAAATTTAGCAGTATAATGAACAGTATTCAAACTACTGGAAGAGCACAGTTTGTCTTATTTGAAATTATATCCCCATTTGGGATATCTGTAATACAATTAGTTTCATTAAAATTAAATAAAATCTCTCAATAATTAAAATTTTTAAAAAATTTGCACAATTATATATAGCAAATCTCTTATATTTAAATTTACCTTAAAATTCTATGTTGTTATAATCTTTGGTGGACAATCGATTAGCTGTGTATAGCAAAAATTGAAGAAGATTAACCACCACAATCTTATCAAGTAAAAGACATCTTAAAAAGACTTGAATTTTGACTAAAGGTTCTTTTTAATTTCAACAACTAAAAATAACAGATATATTGGTACTAAACATGTATAACCAACTCTGCTAAAATTACAAAAACTGTGGTTAAGTATGAATAGCTCATGGCATAGCTACTTACCAATTTATGTTAAAGATGATTTATGTAGCAAACATCCTTATATACTACTAGTATAGCGTGTGGTATTGAGAGGTGACAGCGTGCTGGCAGTCCCCACGGCCCTCGCTCGCTCTCGGCGCCTCCTCTGCCTGGGCTCCCACTTTGGCGGCACTTGAGGGGCCCTTCGGCCCGCCGCTGCACTGTGGGAGCCCCTTTCTGGGCTGGCCAAGGCCAGAGCCGGCTCCCTCAGCTTGCAGGGAGGTGTGGAGGGAGACGCGCGAGCGGGAACCGGGGCTGCGCGCGGCGCTTGCGGGCCAGCTGGAGTTCCGGGTGGGCGTGGGCTTGGCGGACCCCGCACTCAGAGCAGCCGGCCGGCCCTGCGGGCCCCAGGCAATGAGGGGCTTAGCACCTGGGCCAGCGGCTGCGGAGGGTGTACTGGGTCCCCCAGCAGTGCCAGCCCACCGGCGCTGCGCTCGATTTCTCACCGGGCCTTAGCTGCCTTCCCGCGGGGCAGGGCTCGGGACCTGCAGCCCGCCATGCCTGAGCCTCCCATCCCCTCCGTGGGCTCCTGTGCGGCCTGAGCCTCCCCGACGAGCGCCGCCCCCTGCTCCACGGCGCCCAGTCCCATCGACCACCCAAGGGCTGAGGAGCGCGGGCGCACGGCGCGGGACTGGCAGGCAGCTCCACCTGCAGCCCCGGTGAGGGATCCACTGGGTGAAGCCAGCTGGGCTCCTGAGTCTGGAGGGGACGTGGAGAACCTTTATGTCTAGCTCAGGGATTGTAAATACACCAGTCGGCACTCTGTATCTAGCTCAAGGTTTGTAAACACACCAGTCAGCACCCTGTGTCTAGCTCAGGGTTTGTGAATGCACCAATCGACACTCTGTATCTAGCTACTCTGGTGGGGCCTTGGAGAACATTTATGTCTAGCTCAGGGATTGTAAATACACCAGTGGGCACTCTGTAGCTAGCTCAAGGTTTGTAAACACACCAGTCAGCACCCTGTGTCTAGCTCAGGGTTTGTGAATGCACCAATCGACACTGTATCTGGCTACTCTGGTGGGGCCTTGGAGAACCTTTGTGTCCACACTCTGTAACTAGTTAATCTAGTGGGGACGTAGAGAACCTTTGTGTCTAGCTCAGGGATTGTAAACGCACCAATCAGTGCCCTGTCAAAACAGACCACTGGGCTCTACCAATCAGCAGGATGTGAGTGGGGCCAGATAAGAGAATAAAAGCACGCTGCCCGAGCGAGTGGTGGCAAACCTCTGGGGTCCCCATCCACACTGTGGAAGCTTTGTTCTTTCACTCTTTGCACTAAATCTTGCTGCTGCTCACTCTTTGGGTCCACACTGCTTTTATGAGCTGTAACACTCACTGAGAAAGTCTGCAGCTTCACTCCGGAAGCCAGCGAGACCAGGAGCCCACCTGGAGGAAGGAACAACTCTAGACTCGCCGCCTTAAGAGCTGTAACACTCACCGCAAAGGTCTGCAGCTTCACTTCTGAGCCAGCCAGACCACGAACCCACCAGAAGGAAGAAACTCTGAACATATCCGAATATCAGAAGGAACAAACTCCAGACACGCCACCTTAAGAGCTGTAACACTCACCGCCAGGGTCCGCGGCTTCATTCTTGAAGTCAGCGAAACCAAGAACCCACCAATTCCGGACACAGTATTATACACTACTATACCATGTGGATTGCATGGAAAAAACCCAAAAGCTTCCCTTATGTTAGTTTCCTCTTACGTATGGTTATAGAGGAACATTTTGCATTTATTGACAGAACATGTCTAAATGATACCTCCTTAGTGAAGGCATAATTTATTATTGAATCTTTGTAATTACTGAGAGGGTCTAATGACTAAATATATATATATATATAATATATCCTTGTTTATATTTCAAAACTAAATTTATGTAATGGATTAATTCTTATACAAATGAGCAGAAAGTAAAATACTGCAAAAACACTTGAAATATCAGTTGTAGAGCTGAATATACCCAGGGAAGCACCCTCTGGAAGGTGATTTTGTAAATGGAATCTGTTAGATCAAGTCCAGACCAACTCTTGCCTGCCAGGTGCCACTTAATTAAGCCTCTACCTGTAAAACCAAACCTCAAACTCCAAAGTTCTAAGAAACTGGCTCTCATTAAATCATTCCATTGTGGATTACTATGGACAATATAAGGCCAGTTAAAGGTTTCCTTAGGTAGTCACGGGGTTCTTTGTTCTTACAGTCAGTGATCAGGTGCTAAGACAGTCCAAAGCTAAACTACAAGAAACAAATTAAGAGCCTTGTAAGTTTATCAGAAACTGAAGATCAACCTTTTTTAACTGAAAAGGCTAATGCAACTTTAATCATGTCCTCAACCAATAGTTAGTAAAATAAGGATTTTTAAAAATTGAAAACATTATCCCTTCTCATTTCAGGAAAACATTCTCACCACAAATAATATCTCTTAAGACATAACAAAACATATTTTCCATATTATTTTCTTATACATATGACATAGGTTATATCATCTTCAAACTTTGTTCTGGAGTAACTATTGATCTATATGCAGTGTATTCCAATTCACCTGATTATTCTGTGTGTCTCTACTGACCTGTTTTTTTTTTTTATACAGCCACATTGTTAATATTAATACAAATAGTCCAGTTATTTAGCAGAATTTAATTGTATCGTAGTGTATGTGACTTTTTCCTTCAGTCACAATACATCAGTTCAGGAGAAACATATTATTTGCCAAATAATAAATTTGAAGGGGAACATTTTCACTAAATCCTTTAAAAGGAATAGTCACTTTTCAAAAGGGTCATTATGACATAATCAAAATGATATGGTTAGGTAAGTTATATTACCTTAAAAATGGAGAATATTAATGGTAATCTTTGTAAGATGACTAACATGGGCCCCGCTATATAGTATCCATTCCATTTCCTTTTCTGTGAAATATGCATGAAAACATTTGTCTCCATTATAGGGGTATTACAATGATCCTTTGAAAAGGTATTCTCACACTAGAAATTATTATGTAAGTCAATGAGGTTTATTATGTTTTTATCTGATGTAGTATAGGCTAGCAAATTTTGAAGGAAAGAATAACTATTTTCAATAAAAAACTGTGTCTTTGGACATTGAGGTCTTAACTATAGAGATAACTTACATATTCTCATTGTCCTATCTATCTGTCAATCACTTTATCTTGTTTCTTTAAAATTCAACAGTTTCTGAGAATAAAAAGTATTTTGTACTTCTCTTAAAATCTTCATGATATTATGTATTGCTCTTTGTTTTTATTTTAATAGCATTTTTTTTTTCTTTTCTGAGACGGAGTTTCACTCTTGTTGCCCAGGCTGGAGTGCAATGGCACGATCTTGGCTCGCTGCTACCTCTACCTCCTGGGTTCAAGTGACTCTCCTGCCTCAGCCTCCTGAGTAGCTGGAATTACAGGCGCATGCCACGCCCGGCTAATTTTGTATTTTTAGTAGAGACGGAGTTTCACTATGTTGGCCAGGCTGGTCTTGAACTCCTCACTTCAAGTGATCCACCCACCTTGGCCTCCCAAAGTGCTGGGATTACAGGCCTGAGCCACCATGCCTAGCATAAAATTTGTTTTCATATAGCTATAAATTCTAGCAACTGCTTATGAAAATTATGACAAATTATTACAGATTAATAACGCTACGTATAAGAGTTTATATGAATTGGCTGAAAAGTTACATAAAAATGGTTAACAATTTCAACTTTCTATCAGTAACTTAAGGTTAATAAGAAAATAGAAGTCTACTTACAAAATCAATGGATTTTAAGAGCCTATAATTAATTTAAAACACCCTGTGTTATTAAGACTAAAATAAATTATTTTCATTCACCTACTCCCTATGACCAATTATTTTATACAGGGAAACTTAATCTCTTTAACTTGAAAACTCTGTAGAAGTAATGCATAATTAATCACTATGCTGTATCTGGCTTCATCAATATTAGATTGAATATATTTACATGTTACTTAAGGACTGACCTTAATTAGAAACTTTGGGCATTCTGCAAAGAAGATTGTTTGAAGATTTCACTGGTTCTATATTTGCACATTTTCCTGGACTTAGGCAATTCATCTTTGTGATAATCAGATTTTTTTTTCAACAATTGTATTGGTAAGGAAAACTATGGATAAAATAATGCCATTTAGCACTTTAAACTATATTTTAAATATATTGGGTTTTGGTTAGAAAAAATGCATCAAAACTTTCTTCTAGAATTTAAAATTTGGTTTTTATTCAACAAACTATGCTGAACGTGGCACTAAACACAGATGTCTATACTTATAAAATTACTGTAAACCCAGTCTCAACTGAATAAGTCTTTAAATAAGTGAGTCTGCTCCCTATTTAATGTGCATAATCTTAAAGATGAAAACGGGTGAATTAAATTCACATGTATTTCCTAATGGATAACTTAAGCTGGGATATGAACTATCCTTTCTTTCCAATTCAATCCACACCTGGCTACATTCTGATACATGGTTCCTGTTTATCACACAGTGAGGGCATTAAAAGCGTGGAAGGCATCAACAAAATATTTCCCCATAAATCTCCTAGTAAAGAAATTAAGATTCATTATGGGTATTTTCCCAGTTATTAGAGTCAGTGTGTTATAGTACAAACATGGGTTTATATGTATACATACTAGCTTTTTAACAAGCACGTTGTTTTCAATGTTCTAGCCAAATTACGTAAAGTGTGGGATCACAGCAAATTCAAGAAAAATGGAGAAGGGTTGTAAAATAAAAATACCTTGTCATATCTGGTGGAGGGAATTATTAATTGATCTGGGAGAATATCCTAGCACCAGCATTCATTTTTTCCAAAAGCTCCTCAGGCGATAAGAATGTGTGTGCTGGCTAAGAAACACTTGTATGAAGAAGCCACATGAAGTGAACAGAAAAAGATTAAATAAGTGATTTCCAATGTTGGTTCAACTGGAATCAAACTACTACTCTAATGTGACACAAAAGTTTCAGAATATTTTTATAAATTTAGTCAATTACAGGAAAGAAAGAGAAAATTAAAGTGATAGTGGCCATCATTTCTTAAATACACAATTGCCTACACAAAAGAAATACAGTGTTAAAATAAAGTAAATAAAAAGAGATATAAATATTAGGTAGTCAAGAGGCAAACAATCTGCATTAAATGAAAACCCCTATAAAAGTTTAAAGATTATTATTTAAGGAGGATTTGTGGTTTCTTTTACTTTGGCTTTACTGAAGGCAACCATCTATTTTAGAAAAAAATAAAGGTGAAAGGCCCTATTTCCCAGATGCACTGTTGAGCTACTTTAACTTAATCTTCCTTGGGCCTAAGCATTGATGTGGTGAACTGGCTATGGACCGGGTTTCAGTGCCACGACTGCAATACATATAACTTGAAGATACCCACACACTGGTATGTCAATGAAAAAATGAACACACACCCCAAGAAAGAAAACATGATTTGGACTAGATTTACTTGAAAATGAAAAATACCACATCTGCTGGTAGGTATATCTATTTTTAACTCTCAGTATCTGATGTGTGTGTTGTGACAAATACACAATTGTTTTTGGAAGGAATTGCATAGAAGATAAACTGTATGTAATTTCTGCCCCACAGTAAATAAAGTGTTTAAAGATACATTATAAAAGCCTCTCTAAAAACTCTGCTTTTATTTCTTACAGCAATAAAAACTTGCTTCTGATGCACCCACATAATTTAGCCTTAACATGTTTATTTAACCTGTCCCATAGGTAGTAAAACCTTTTGGGGTCTAACCTAACCCCAAATCTGATTCACAAGAAAGTTGGAAGATGAGTTCAATGGTACAGTATATATTTGTGATCTGTAAATGAGATATCTTGACAATGCCTTCCACCTTCTGACTTGTCATGAGGCTTTCAGACCCTTCTAAGACCTTTACAACACAAATTAAACTCATACTGTCAAAATATTCTATTATCTCTCACTTCTAGGATTGTTAGAAATGTTAAGCTATACTGATATTTTAAGGATCATCATTAAATATTAAGTTCACATCAAAGAATCTAGATACATGTATACATTTTCAAACAAAAAATTAAATACAACTTCTGGTATCCTAATAATTTTCTTCTTCATATAAATGAATACAGCAAAACTTTTCTCCTATATTGATTGCAAGGTCAAGGAAGGAAAACCATTAAATAGAAAATTAGGCATTATAAATGGCCCATGTTCCTGGGCGCAGCTGAACTCTTAAAAAGCGTCTTACTTGATGCCAAAGATCTGGAAGCTAGTTTCAGCTTTTCTGTTTAATAGAGTTGTGGAGAACTTGGATGGATTTTTAATCTAAAAGTCAGTTGCATTATTTCTCAATAAAAACATATATAAGCACCATTCAATAAACTTTCTGCAATAATGGAAATGTTCTCTATCTCTACTATACCACCGTAATCATTAGCCACATGCGTTTCTTGAGGACTTGAAATGGGGCTAGTGTGACTGAGGGACTAAATTTGAATTCCATTTAATTTTATTTAATTAAATTTAAATTTAAATAGTCACAAGCAGCTATCAGAAACTGTATTGTTTGGGGCAAACGTAGATTGTATTTGATCACATTTATTGGAAATTGTCTAAAAAATCAAGGGCAATTATGACCAATGCATCATTGTTGAATGAAACTCTAAAATCAAATATGTGTCAGAGATAGGGGAGCCCCTTGAGACATGTATCACCTAAATCAATCCTTAAAGGTATACAGAAGCCAGGATGATACCTGTCCTAAATTAAAAGTAAGCATAAAAGACCAGTTTGAAGAGAAAAATAGAAGCCATGGGGTGGCAATATCAAACATAAGAAATTTTAAAAGGAAAAAGCATTGTTTGATTTTCTCCAGGTAGAAGTATAAATAAATTATTAAATTCATAGGGAATTCACGACTTTAAAAAAGTAATCTGACCCAGAAGCCCCCTTCTCTCCAGGCTGAGTCCCTGTCAGAAACGGGCAAAGCCAATCATATACCATTCTTCAAATGAGGTTGAAATTTGGGCCAGTTGGCCCTTTACGAAAGCCCACATTTCAAGAACTCCATTGTCCTTACAAGAGGTTTTACTGAAAACATATAGTTTTCTAATTCACATTATTATAAGGACAACAATTGTAATAAAATTGACTTTGTTTCTATTTTCTAAAAAGTGGCCAGTAGGTCTATTATTCCATTGAAGCACAGTATTATTCAAAGGAAGCTTAATACATATAAATATATTTTGGTAGATATGTTTTCCACACATAAGCATAAAGCCTGGTTTTCTCTTTTTTAATCACCCTTTAAAAAATTGATTTTATTATGCTGAATGTCAATATTGATATGTTTGTTTTAAATGGTAAAATGTTAACAGTTCATATAATCTGAGTTCATCATGGATCTACTAAAAATTGTCCTTAAAAATAATGTTCTCTGACTCTCCTATGTATGGTATAATGAAATCATAATATTCTCAACAGATACTTACTATCCAAATAACAGGCAATGCATGCACATACCATACACCTATTTGCATAATGAAATTAGTTTTTAAACTCTTGATCCAGGTACTTTTCCTTTATCCTAGAAAAAAGAAATTAGCAGAATAACTCACAGCAATATGATTCTCCCACCTAAAAATAACAACAAACAGGAAAGATAAGGTAAATGAAATAAGTAAAAATGATATCAATCTACTCATTTTTGTGTTCATTGACTTTTTTTTAGAAATGATGCAAACTTTATAATATGCCACAATATTTCATCATATTGGACATGTAAGGAAAAGTTAAAGAAAGACACATAAAACAACCGTAGTGATTTTATTAATTTTAACACTGAATGCCAGATATGGTTAAAACTTAACAGAATAAAAATGGCAGCATATTTAATAGCATGAAATAAAAGACCAAGCTAAACATTCTTAAAAAGCAAAATATTTTTTAAAACATACACACACAAAACTTTGCAAAAGAAAATGTTTCTTATATTTAAAATTTTAAATGTGAACTGCCGAACTCCCTAACTTCTGATTTTTTTCCCCACAACACTAACAATCTTAAAATATACTATATTATTGTTTCTTTATTTTCCTTTCTTTCAGACTCCACCCATATGTATGTGAGTTTTGTCCCTATTTACTTCACTGTGGTATTCCCTGCTCCTAGAACAGAGCCTCACACATAGTAATGGGACAAGAATTATTTTAAATTCAAAAAAGAATTAATATTCACACTGATTCTACCTATTATAATTTCAGGGGAAAACTCTGCCTGTATACAGATTTTTCAGGCTCTTATCAAAAGTAGAGGTATTCATTCATATGCAGTGACTCTTCATACAAAATTTACAGTATTAAATGCTGCTCAAAAGAGTAATGTACAATATTTTTATTTATGTTTAATTATAGATCATAGTAATGTATATATGATATCATAGTCTGGTATAAACTACTTTCCTCTGCAAATATCTAGAAAATAAGAGAATACAGATGTTTAAAAGATACAATGAACATTATATAATTATCTCAAAACAAAAAGAATGACATTATTACCTGAGGATTGGCTTCTAATTTTACAGATAAAAAGAATTTTAAGTTTGGGGCAGTATAAAATATTAATTCAAATGCCAAATTTATTTTTATTCATTATCATTAGAGCTAAATTAAATAAACACTAAGATTACACGTGCCATAATTTTGATCCAGGATGCTACAGTTATGAATTATTGGCAGGCAGTAGACCTGCCACAAAACCATGAAATAAATTGTCTAAGTAAGGCAACTGAAGAGTCCCCAAGAGTAGGCTGGGCATGGTGGTTCAAACCTGCAATCCCAGCACTTTGGGAGGAGGCCAGGGCAGGTGGATGCCTTGAGCTCAGGATTTCCAGACCAGCGTGGGCCACATGGCAAAACCCTGTCTCTACGAAAAATAGAAGAAATTAACCAGGTGTGGTGGTGCACGCCTGTAGTCCTGGCCACCCAGGAGGCTGAGGTGGAAGGAACACCTGAGCCCAGTGGTCAAGGCTGCAGTGACAGTGATCGTGTCACTGCCTGGGCAACAGACTAAGACCCTGTCTCAAAAAAAAAAACAAAAATCTAAGTTCACGAATGTCTCCTCTCTTTGCCAAAATTTGTTGTCATATCTGCTATGGTTCACTTACATGAATTTTTTCTAAAAATATGCCATCTCATATATTAAGGCTGCCACTTCCTTATTAATATATTTTGGTTTACCGTGTTCTCCTCCTAAATGATGTCCTGAGTTAGGTTACACTTGAGCAGCTTTGATAACAAAATAAAACCACAGTCATAGTCCTCTACTTAACATGTGTCTAGGGAATTTGGACATTCTTAATAAGCTCAATGACTAAGATGGCCTTAATGTTTCCCTCTGCTGATTAAATTTTAGACAGGCTTCTTCCTGACTTTTGGCTCTGATCTCCCTGTTCTTAGAGCATTTTATTTAGAAAACATGTAATTGCAAATTCTCTGCCCCTTTGTGATACAGATGGCCCTAACTTATAATGGTTCAACTTAACAATTTTCAATTTTATTATTGTATGATATGTATTCAGCAGAAACTGTCTTGGAGTACCTATGTAAAAATTCTCTTTTTCAACTTTGGTACAGTGTTTAATAAATTACATGAGATATTCAACACTTTATTGTAATATAAGCTTTGGGTTGGATGATGTTGCTGAATTTTGGCTAATGTAATAATACAATTACTCTGAGCACCTTTTAGGTAGGCTAAGCTATAATGTTCCTTAGCTTAGGTGTAATTGAATGTTTGAATACATTTTCCACTTGCAGTATTTTCTTTGTTTACTTGTTTTTGTTTGTTAGTTAGTTTGTTTTTTGAGACACAATATCTAGCACTGTTAGCCAAGCTGGAATGCAGTGGTGATCATAGGTCATTACAGCCTCCAATTCCTGGGCTCAAAGGATCCTCCTGCCTCAGCCTCACAAGTAGCTGGGACTACAGGCATGCACCACCGTGCCCAGCTAATTAAAAAAAAAAATTGGTAGAGATGGAGTCTCACTATGTTGTCTCGCTGATCTTGAACTTCTGTCCTCAAGCAATCCTCCTGCATTTGCCTCCCAGAATGCTGAGATTATAGTCATGAGCTACCGCACCTCATCCACTTAGAATATTTTCAATTTATTTTGGGTTTATTGGAACTAGCTTCAAGTCAAGGAATATCTGTATATGTAAATCTTTCTAAAAGCCTATTGACAATTTTACAATAGATAAACGTCCTTCTTAAGGACTTGGAAGCCATTCTTTCAAATGCAATTATCAAGGAATATTGTGCCCCTATCTTCCCAGTCCCTATGGGAAAGTAGATCCCTAACTTAGAAGGGCCCCAATTAGCAAACACAGGGGACCTAATTACAGAGAAAAGCATTTGCAAACAGGAAATAACTCAGTGTGCTCAACATAGCTCATTGATCAACCTCCTCACTAATATCCCCCAGTACTTATATAGCTCATCCCAGCCCAACATTTGTTTCCAGAGTTGAGTTCAAACATAGATATGGCTTCTGTCTCCTATTGCAATAGCCTTGAATAAATCTTTCTTTTCTGTTAAAATTTGTCTTGTGCAATTTTTGCTTTGAAACCAACTATATTTAATATAATGTCCAAACAAATAATCACATGTAGCTTTGAGTAACCTTATAAGAATATTGAATATCTGTGGGATAAGATAAAGCATAGAAGGACAGATTTAAATATGTATATGTGTATGTGTATGTGTGTGCACATATATATAAATATATATGTTTAATTAAACAATTTGCCTCCTGATATCAATAAACTGCTGAAAATCTTTTATAAGATTTATTTTTTCTTGTTTCAGTTATGTCCTTCCTAGGGAAAGAAAATCATCCACTTAAATAAATGTCTAAATACTTAAATTCATTTTACTTCTTCAGAAAACAATCACATCAATTTTGGGGCAATTAGAATCAGAGGAGTGCCCCTCTTAGAGGTCACTGTATTCGAACTTTTAAAATCCACAGAGTAAGTGATATTGAACACAGCCTACACCAAAAAAGATTACAATAAAATTATACGTTTTTACACATAAATCTTATGACTACCATTTGAAATGAGGAAATCTCCAGAGTCAAAACAAGCAGTGATTAGTAAGGAATAACAAGAAACCTCATTGCTTTGCCCTTTAAATCATAAGAGTATTACTTCTTGCCTTTAGTTGTGATGTCACTATGAAGTTGTTGACAAAGCAATCAGGCTCAAAAACCCAATGTCATTTAACTAGAAACTTTTTATTTATATTTTTCTAGGAGGAAAAGAAAAAAGCATGGGAGGAAAAACAGCATGGGAAAAAAAGTAGGAAAAAAGCATGGGAATCTTAGTTAAGTTTGATGGAACATAAGATAATATATCATGTATCTTTTTCATGGAAAACTCCCTCATTAGGTAGGTAAACACATTTAAATATGTCATATTATTGTGTCAAATGCAGTGTTAAATACCCATGAAGAGGATAGAGGTGAACACTTAGCTCAGTTTGAGGTTTAATGGAAGCTTTTCTGAGAGGAATAATTTCCCCAAAGAGCCAAATTTTGAGAAGACAATGAATAAGAGCCATACAATGGAAGAAGAGCCATACAATGGAAGAAGAGAATGTTTTTACATGACTTTAAGGTATTTCCTTGAGGGTCTAGGTGATACTATCAGGGAAAAGGAATCCGGCAAGGATTGAGGAAAAGAGGTGAAAGTTTGTTTGAGGTGGCTGCAAAAATTCAAAGTAGGTATGTTTGGCTATAAATAAATAAACATATATATGTACACATATATATGAATATGAAAGTCAATATAGATGTATGGATTAAACATGGAGATTCGGGAATCACCAAAGCCAATCATGGTTCATACCTAAAACTCAAAAACAGATATGAAAGCAAAGAGAAATAAAGAGTAATGGATTTGAGAGAGAACTGTGGGCAGTCCTAATATTTAAGTGATAGGGAGAGTAAGAGCCCACAAATGAAAATTACATAAATAGTGTAACAGAATACCAGAGAGTAATGAGTTATAGACAGTTGTGCCTGGTGTATAGTATACAGTAAAAAGGTCCAGTAACTTGAGTGAATATTCTCACTGGATTTGGCAATATTGAGTCACTGATGAACTTCACTTTTCATGTTTAATTAGTCTTGAGGATGAAAACGAAAACAAACTGAAATGTGTTGGTGAATCAATTAAAACTGAGAGATTAGTGATTGTAAGTATAATTAGGGTGTGTATGGTTAATAAAAGGCTTTTTATTTGAGGAGGAGCTTGGGAATGAAAAACAGTAGAAAATTCCTTATAAACAGGATGAGAGAGGTGACTGAAGGAGTTAGAGGTCAAATATAAATGGAATAGAGGATATATTGATGGAGTAATGTAGCTGTTGACAAAAAAAAAAGATGAGATCAAATGTAAAAGTGAAAAGATTGGACTCGATTGAGGATGCAGAGAAGGAGCACCTCATCTCCTGTGAATGAGATAAGATAGCGAAGATAAATTGGAGATAAATGAAAATGTCAATATATGTGAGAGAGGGAAAAAGAAAACTAAATTCATTTATGCCAAATAACTTTAATTATATTTTAAAATTGTAAGAATGCAGAAATAATAAAAATATGATTGAGTAGGAGGCTTAAGAAGATAGGTAAATGACTACTGTAGTTAGGGAAGTGTGAGAATTGTCCAAAGATAGGTAATATTACTGATGAATGAAGATAGGTAATATTACTGATGAATGAAGATAGGTAATATTACTGATGAATGGTATTGAATACTAAATAACACAAAATATATCTAAATTATTTATTGATGTATCTCTTGTCCTTTGCATAGCTTAGGTCATCTATGGACATATTTGAGTCAGCATTTCATGATCACGTTCTTTGTGTGCTAAGCGTGAGTACCTGTTCTCAGATCCAAGCCTCGCCATATTCTCTCATCTCTTTATCCTTTGCAGATCACTTTCCTCCTGCCTCTTAGTGATTGTCACTTACCTACCCTTCTTCGATGCTTTGTTTCCCTGGAGACATACAGGAATATGTAATAATTTCTTCTTAGGTTTTTCCTTTCCTGTTTTTCCCACAGACAGCAAGTAAATACTCTTTTAACTTTTCAGTTTCACTGCTAACTATTAATGAAAAACCGGCAGCATATAACCAAAGTTATACTTTGCTCACATCTCAAAATGACAGTGAGTGTTTTGTAATTTCTGATGGCCAGGAAAGAATTAGGAATGGATACCACCTAGCAATTCTCCCTCTGCCTTTATTACCCTGAGGGCAGAACTCATCAAAAGAACACCTTCCTTCTGCTCTCTCATTTACTTGAAATTGAGGCCTGAAGACATAATCAAGGCAGAACAACAGGTGCCTCCTTGTCTCAAGTGGACTATTTGCATTTCAAAGTATCTCTGGATTCTAGGTGATGACTTTTCCAAGGGGCTTAAGCTCCTTCATGGAAATATCACTTTTGGAATGTACTTCACAGCGTGTTTCACTAGAATTCCCTGTTTATTACAATGAAGATTTGTCGAGTGAATCTTACCAGCTGAGATTTCTGGAGATGCAGAGCAATGTATCTTTTTTTTATTTTCATTTTCTTTTTATTATACTTTAAGTTCTGGGGTAAGAACGTGCAGGTTTGTTACATAGGTATACACGTGCCATGGTGGTTTGCTGCAGCCATCTACCTGTCATCTACATGACGTATTTCTCCTAAGGCTATCCCTCCCCTGGCCCCCTACCCCCCAGGAGGCCCTGGTGTGTGATGTTCCCCTCCCTATGTCCATGTGTTCTCACTGTTCATCTCCCATTTATGAGAGAGAACATGTGGTGTTTTGTTTTCTGTTCCTGTGTTAGTTTGCTGAGAATGATGGTTTCCAGCTTCATCCATGTCCCTGCAAAAAACATGAACTCATTCTTTTTTTATGGCTGCATAGTATTCCATGGTGTATATGTGCCACATTTTCTTTATCCAGTCTATCATTAATGTGGTTGGTTCCAAGTCTTTGCTATTGTGAATAGTGCTACAATAAATATACGTGTACATGTTTCTTTATAGTAGAATGATTTATAATCCTTTGGGTATATACCCAGTAGTGGGATTGCTGGGTCAAATGGTATTTCTGGTTCTAGATCCTTGAGGAATCGCCACACTGTCTTCCACAATGGTTGAACTAGTTTACACTACCACCTACAGTGTAAAACCATTTATTTCTCCACATCCTCTCCAGCATCTGTTGTTTCCTGACTTTTAATGATTGCCATTCTAACTGGCGTGAGATGATATCTCATTGTGGTTTTGATTTGCATTTCTCTGATGACCAGTGTTAATGAGCATTTTTTATTTGTTTGTTGGTCGCATATACATCTTCTTTTGAGAAATGTCTGTTCATATCCTTTGCCCACATTTTGATGGGATTGTTTATTTTATTCTTGTAAATTTGTTTAAGTTCATTGTAGATTCTGGCTGCTAGTCCTTTGTCAGCTGCATAGATTGCAAAAATTTTCTCCCATTCCGTAGGTTGCCTGTTCACTCTGACGCTAGTTTCTTTTCAGAAAAGTCTCAGGATACAAAATCAATGTGCAAAATTCACAAGCATTCATATACACCAACAATAGACAAACAGAGAGCCAAATCATGAGTGAACTCCCATTCACAATTGCTTCAAAGAGAATAAAACATCTAGGAATAAAACTTACAAGAGAAGTGATGGACCTCTTCAAGGAGAACTACAAACCACTGCTCAAGAATATAAGAGAGGACACAAACAAATGGAAAAGCATTCCATGATCATGGATAGGAAGAATCAATATCATGAAAATGCCCATACTGCCCAAAGTAATTTATAGATTCAGTGCTATCCCCATCAAGCTAACATCAACTTTCTTCACAGAATTAGAAAAAAAAACTACTTTAAATTTCATATGGAACCAAAAAGGAGCCCATATACCTAAGACAATCCTAAGCAAAAAGAACAAAGCTGGAGGCATCACACTACCTGACTTTAAACTATACTACAAGCCTACAGTAACCAAAACAGCATGGTACTGGTACCAAAACAGATATATAGAACAGTGGAACAGAACAAAGGTTTCAGAAATAATGCCACCTCAGGCTCCGGGGTAGCTGGTACTATAGGTCCGCATGTATGTCACAATGCCCGGATTTTTTTTGTAGAGACAGGGTTTCACCATGTTGCCCAAGCTAGTCTTGAACTTCTGGGCTCAAGTGATCAGCCCACCTCAGCCTCCCAAGGGTTGGGATTACAGGCGTGAGCCACCATGCTTGGCCAATAGAACATTCTTAACTAGAACATTGTATATATCTACTAGAGCATAAGGAGATTCTTTTCATTTGTAAAAATAAATGGACAGGCTGGGTGTGGTGGCTCAAGCTTGGAATCACAGCACTTTGGGAGGCCAAGATGGATGGATCACCTGAGGTTGGGAGTTCGAGACCAGCCTGACCAACATGGAGAAACCCTGTCTCTACTAAAAATACAAAATTAGCTGGGTGTGGTGGTGCATGCCTGTAATCCCAGCTACTCAGGAGGCTGAGGCAGGAGAATCGCTTGAACCCAGGAGGCAGAGGTTGCAGTGAGCGGAGATCGCGCCATTGCACTCCAGCCTGGTCAACAAGAGTGAAACTTTGTCTCAAATAAATAAGTAAATAAATAAATATAAATAAATGGACAACATTAAACTTCTTCAACGTTTTCATAAAAACATGGTGATATGGTTTGGCTGTGTCCTCACCCAAATCTTGTCTTGAATTGTAGCTCCCACAATTCCCACATGTTGTGGGAAGCACCCAGTGGGAGGTAATTGAGTCATGAGGATGGGTCTTTCCCATGTTGCTCTCGTGATAGTGAATAAGACTCACAAGATCTGATGGCTTTATAAAGGGGAGTTCCCCTGCACAGGCTCTCTCTTTGCCTGCTGCCATGTTCGTCGTGCCTTTTGCTTTCTGTCATAATTGTAAGGCCTCCCCAGCTACGTGGAACTGGGGTCCATTAAACCTCTTTCCATTATAAATTACCCAGTTTTGGGTATATCTTTATCAGCAGCGTGAAAACAGACTAATACACATGGTTAGATTGAAGATACTCATTGTTAATGTATTACAAATTCCAAAATAACATGATATTTTAATATATCAATTTTATTTAATATTTTATGTACTCTTATGGGCACTTTTTCATATATATCCCATATAACTTCATATAAAATGCTGAGAGAATTAACAGATGAATAAGTTAATATCACAATCCTTGAAGAATTTATGATGTATAGAGAAAAAAAGAAAAAAAAACCCTTTATGTAAGGCAAAATATTAAAAGTTTAAAATAAAGGGGTAGGATAGTACAGGGAAGAGTTCGAAGAGAAGTCACAGAAGAAACTAGCAGTTTAGAGAAGCAAAGATTTTTAAAAACTTCAATGTAGGACGCATGGGAAACAAAGTTGAGAAGAATACAATTTTTAGAGTTGTGAAAAGCCTCATGAAAGCTTCATTATAATAGGGCCGAATCAACTATCATTTCAGAAAATATAAATAAAACTCCTCCCAAAATATAAAAAATATAATGCCCATTGGCTCCACACAAAGGAAGAAAATAACCAGTGAAATAGACATCCTTCATAAGTATTTAAAACCTCCAATTTTATTCTAGACTTCCTTACAAAATACATGTGTAAGTGAACTACTGAAGTCCAGAAAAAATCTTACTTCATAAAACACCCTAATCCCTATAACACCCTGTAAACAGTTTTTTAGTGATAAACAATTCATTAGTGATATTATGTTTATCATTTTACAACTGTAATGCTATATTATAATCTGATAAATATACTTCAGATAAATATATTTAAAAAATCAAAACACCCTGAGGCTTATAGTGTCATTCTAGTCTATAGCACCTACTCTTTTTTACACTAATCCATAATTGATGGCTCATGACATTGCTCTTTTCAAGCCATTAGTTACACAATAACAATGTTAATTAGTTTTAATTAAGTCAGCCATATCCAAGCTTGTATTATTTTAACTTTCTTTGAGAAATAGATAATATTCCTTAGGGTTATTTTTATTTATATATATTTTACAGCATCCTTTACTATTTTCAAAAGACTGAGAATTACTTTTGACCATCATATTTAGAAGAAAAAAAAAATCATAAAATTTTCTCTTTTTTTTCTTTTTTTGAGACTGAGTCTTGCTCTGTAGCCTGGGCTGAAGTGCAGTGGCACAATATTGGCTCACTGCAACCTCCACCTCCCGGGTTCAAGTAATCTTCCTGCCTCAGCCTTCCAAGTACCTGGGATTACAGGCGTGTGCCACCATACCTGGCTAATTTCTGTATTTTTAGTAGAGATGGGGTTTCTGTATTTTTAGTAGAGACGGGGTTTCATCATGTTGGCCAGGTTGGTCTAGAACTCCTGACCTCAATGATCCACCCACCCCAGATTCCCAAATTCCTGGGATTACATGGGTGAGTCACCGCCCGTGTCCTAAAATTATCTTATCTTTAGCTATTTGCTACTAAAAGTATTCATATTGCACCATACACCAGAAAAATGTCCTAAGGTAAGAACATGATTTTTTTATACCATTTAACTGTATACTATCATAAGTTACAAAATTTTAAATATACTTCTTCCTCTCCCTCTCTAAAGTCCTTTCCACAATGGTATGTACTGGAACAAGACAGGCCTCACATTAAACGGCTGATAAGTAGGGTTGCCTATAGCACCGAAAAAAGAATGAATAAAAATAATAAGCAATAAATATTAAAATAAAATTGCTTTAATTTCATTGAGAAGTATATAATGTAAATATGATGATTATTTTCTAGAAGTTTGATATAATCAAACGTGTTCAATTCTTTCACTAACTTTGACTCATATAACAATATCACTTTTTATTAATGAATATATTAACGCTAACTTACCTTTGATAACTCAGGAACTTGAAGCTTATTATTTTAATTTTCTTATTTTTTAAACTAGTGCTACAAAGAAATCAAAAAGGAATCTCTCTACACAAGAGCAAGCAGATGTGCTTTTGTTTGTTTTTGGTTTGTTGTTTGTTTGTTTGTTTTGAGACGGAGATCACTTCGTTGCCCAGGCTGGAGAGCAATGCAGTGATGTTGTCTCACTGCAACCTCTGCCTCCCGGTTTAAGAGATTCTCCTGCCTCAGCCTCCCCAGTAGCTGGGATTACAGGCATGTGCCATCACACTCAGCTAATTTTTGTATTTTTAGTAGAGACTGGGTTTCACCATGTTGAGCAGGCTGGTCTCAAACTCTTGACCTCAAGTAATCTGCCCGCCTCAGCCTCCCAAAGTGCTGGGATTACAGGCGTGAGCCACTGTGCCTGGCCCACGCACATGTGTTTTTACAAAGTCAATGGTTTTTCAATTGCTTGAGTCCTATTGCTAATGAAGATAAAATCATGAATGTGTTACTGATGTTATTCAGTTACTAGGATCCTTTATGCTTCCACCCATATCCACAGCTACTTTCTTCAAAGATGCGTACAAGAGGCACTGGATGAGATAGAGAATGTAATCCAATTCAACACACACTTGCCATCACCATGAGCTCACACCTCTTTAACTGATGTGTCACTAGCATTGTCTAATATGAAAAGAAAAGCCTATGATTGAGATTAGGAAGCACAGGATCATTGTCAGGCACAGAAAATCTACCATTAAACATTAAAGCTGTATATTAATAACCTTTTACCTTGACATAATAAAATTTTGGGCTTGTTGTAATCCTAGATTTTTACCAAAGAAAAAAATGAATTTCAGAAAGGTTAAATCACCTGTTCAAGGTCATACAAATGTTAAGTGCTTATCTTGGGTCTTGAACCTAGACCGAATTGACTGCAAGAGCCCAGTCTCATTCTAGTCCTCCTGCCAGAAGGGAAGAATAAGAAACTCAGAGGACAGATAGTGAGAAGCAGAAAATATACTCACATCTATACTCCCATCTCATACTTGCTTTATAAATAATAGATATGAATTAAAAACATTAATGAACTTTCTACTTTTAATGTACTGACATAATTCAGATATTAGAACAGTCTTACGGAGGCAACAGTGATAATTCTAATTAGCAATTCATCTGCTGCTCTTGAGGGTCATTTTAAAATTCTGCTTATTAACTTATAGCATTTTCCTTCTCAGATTGACTGTCATTTCCAGGAATAAGTTAAGGTAGATCAGACCTTGTAGGGTAGCAAGAATTAGGACATCATTAAAAAGAGCATTCAAGTAGTTAAAGAAAGAGTAGAAATTTATAAGAAGTAAATTGGCTATTAAATCATCATTGGCTCTTCTTTCTTTTGAAATTTTAAGCATTCCAGGTAGATATAAATGAAATAACATTTGAGACTTCATTAAGACTTTGCAGAATGTTTGAGAATAGTAAAAGGGCTTTGTGTAAAATGTTTCAGTGTGGTTTGCTTTAGGCCCCATTATATGAATACTCTTTATATGAACATTTCTATATATGAACTAAGATCTAGATCTCCCTTAATCCTTTCCCTTTAACATAATAAATGGTTATAAGGAAAAAAAGGTCATATAAAAAGTGCTGATTGCTTTTAAGTGCCTGGCAATATATTAACTGGCACAGAAATTATTATCCTGATTTCACATATCATGAAACTAAGTCTTAGAAAGGTTAAAAAATTTGCCCAAGGTCACACAGTTAATAGGTGTGAGAGTAGATATTTAAACACAAACCTATCTCGCACCAGATCTGATGCTCACTGAACTGTTTAAGCCAATTAATGACAACAAGCACTATAGAGTTATATCTGGATTCATCAATGAAATAGCCAATATATCATACTGTAGACAGGTTACTTTCAGAACTACAGACTTCTAGAGCCATGTCTGGGCATGTTAATTACTGTTCAGGTAACTTTCAGATCCAGACTTTATCTCTGAAGACAGTATACAACCAAAACCTAATTTTTCTAATGACCTGGGTAGGCCAGGTCAGGGTGACAAGAGAACCAACTACCTGTTGCTTAGCTAACCAAAACCTGTCCTCATTTACCCACACCTACTCTGAGGATGCCTCTCTTCCTTGTCTCTCTCCACACCTACTTTCACCACAATTCACACTTCTGTCCTATCGATTCAGCCCATGGGGGTTTTCTCTATGCCTATCCATTATTCACTTCCCCTCTCCCCAGTCCCCCATCCAGCCCCTAACACACACCTATTCCCAGTGAGCTAAGCCTTGCAACCCTAATTGCAGAGGAACTGTAAAGAGAGAATTTTTCTCAGAGCTCAGTTCCAATGTCTTTGCTGATACTACCACAGAGACTAATTATGGATCCTATACTTATGGTTTATGAGGTTAAAAATAACAAGGTCACACAAACATACCACTAAGTATTATCTATCAATATTAGGCTTAATTATTTAGCTTAGAAGGAATCTATAGTGGAGGGGAAATTGCTCTGTGGGAGATTAAATTTTATTTTCTTCTCTTGCCATCACACTGCTTACTTACAGCTATTGAAACTTGAAGACACTTGAAAGAGACTTATGATGAAAGATACCATTTAACTATATACTATCATAAGTTATAAAATTCTAAGTGTACTTCTTCCTCTCCCTTTCTAAAGTCCTTTCCACAATAGTATGTACTGGAACAAGACAGGTCTCACATTAAACCCCTGATAAGTAGGATTGCCTATAGCACAAAAAAAAAAAAACGAATGAATAAAAAAAAGCAATAAATATTAAAATAAAATTGCTTTAATTACATTTAGAAGTATATAATGTAAAATATTTCAGTACATCAACTGAATATTCAATATTAGGATTAAATTGTATTATTTTGCTTTACCTTTGATTTTTGTTTAAACTGATGTTTTTGAAAGAATGACCTTACTATTCTAATTCCAAGAAAGTTAGTGTTACTTTGGTGGAACTTTATTCTGTACACTATCCTCTCTCTACACACCCACTAAAAAATGTAGTGGTGCCTACTAGGTCTCAGGCATTTTATGTACTTCAT
Organism: Homo sapiens; assembly: GCF_000001405.40. Lineage (NCBI taxonomy): Eukaryota > Metazoa > Chordata > Mammalia > Primates > Hominidae > Homo > Homo sapiens. The sequence goes on along the minus strand of NC_000003.12, from coordinate 85,113,381 downwards.
TTAATTTTAACAATTCCAATAGGGTGGTAGTATTGACTCATATTCAATTAAATTGCCTGGGATCTGTTAGTAACAAGGCTGTTTTCAACCTGAATTTTCTTTATCTGTTATAAATTACTGGGCAGCAGAGCCAAACGTCTTAGCAACTTTCAGCTCTGCATTCAGTAAAATGAGAGATTGATTGGCATGATGTCTGTAACAAAGTATTCACTCAGTAAAGGAATGAACAAACTCATAGCTTTATCTAGCAAATAAAGTAGACATCAATACAGTGGAAAACTAAGAAATACAATGAGCTGAAGAAGAAAGTATTAAAGCTGACTGAAACAAAAATTTTGTGTAAGTTTTATCTATAGGTAAATGTTTTATAAGCAACTAAATCCAGAAGTGTATAATTTATAAATTTGTTATTAAATTGTATATATGCAATGCATAAATATAAATACATATAAAATATATGATAAATGTACATATTTTACAGATATATAAAATTATGTATATATTATCTGAGCTGTTTAATCTTATTACATACATTGATTTTTTTCCTTTATAATTGTTGAAGAATATCTTTGCAAATCTACAAAAGGGGACATATGTCTTTATGAAAGTCTAACGTTAATGTTGTTAGTATTTGACATAGACAGACTTTATAAGGAAGTCTAATATTACTGTTATTTTATAGAAGAATTCACCCTGAATCCTCAAGAGTAGAGTTAATATAATTTTGGAATAGAAATTTTCAGAAATAAAGTATTTTATATATAGTACTGAAGAATTTTTGTAATAATTCACATACTAAAATGTTTGCAAGGATGTAAGAATTGTAGGTCAACTTTATACGGGGTGAAATCATATAGCAGTGACTTTTCCTCCTACTTTTTGGTAATTCAGCTGAAGTACAGAGGAATAAAGAATTCTGAAATGCTGGGGAATCTTTAACACTTTATGATTTTGATCATAAAGTTTACTTATACGTGTACTTTAACTTCACTTTATAGTTGAGTTAAATGCCAAAAAAAAAAAAATGACAGTTTCTCCAGAATTTTCAAATAAGAGGCAGTATTCTGTGATTTTATTCACAAATATACCAAATTTGTTTTGTACATGACACATACTGGGCAGCATGTTTAAATTGGCCATTGGTTTCCAGTGGAATGCTGATGAGAAGGATATATGGATCTATGATATTTTAATATCTTGTGAAATAAGAGGTATGTTATCACTCTATGCTGCAAGAGTTTCCATCAACAACACTTTTTGCACCTTGATCTATAACTTTGTAACTATGTGGAAGGATAGGAAAGGAATGCTTTATAAGTTGGTAAACATTGTTAAAAACTTAGAAATTAATAGAAGACGTTGTACTTAGAAATCTCAAACTAGCCCTTATTTTTTAGATAGGTGCTCTAATGGAATTTGTTTAACCTCATATCTCATTTCAGTCACCATTTGGAGTACAGAATCCTACAACGAAATTAGAAACCATTATATGACTATTATTGCTATGTTTTGGAAATGTTAAGATAAAATGTTTCAATTTTATCTTACAGTTGAAAGTTGATGGCATTTCCTTAAATTAATTTAATCTATTACCTCAAGTATTTATACTTTGAGTTACAAATAATCCAATTTCTTTAAGTTATTTAAAAATATATACAATTAAGTTATTATTGACTACAGTCACTCTATTGTGCTATCAAATAGTAGGTCTTATCCATTCTTTTGGTACCCATCAACCATCTCCACCTCCTCCACAACCCTATACCATCCTTTCCAGCCTCATCTTTCTACACTCTCTGTCTGTGAGTTCAATTGATTTGATTTTTAGATCCCACAAATAAGTGAGAACGTATGATGTTTGTCTTTCTGTGCCTCGTTTACTTCACTTAACATAATGATCTCTAAAGAACACTAATACATATTTTCATCAAAATACTTAAAAGCTCTCATGTAAACATAGATAATAGGCAGCCTCATATATTGCAAAGATTACAAAACCTGGGGTATACAGGCTTAAATTTGAACCATATAACCTCTTGACAAAGTAAAGCCAGTATTTTTTAACTTTAAAAAGTTAGTTTTAAAAAAATTTAAAGCAAACTTCTGGACCATGTTATATAAATTTGAATGTTATCTGATTTGGATCATATTCTCTCTCATGACAGATAATATAAGAAAGACCTCATAAATGCATATAAAATGTTTTTTCATACCTATATGATTTGAAATATTAACAAGAAGGAAAGCAGATACTTTTAAGAATAAAGTTGTCCTAAGAATTATAATTGATTTTATAAATTTGCCAGAGTGATCTGATGTCACAATTTACTTAGGTTACATTATTCATGTACTTTTAAAAAGTTGCTTACATAAAAAGGTAGATGGGAAAGACATACTGTTGCCCTGAATGATAAACAAAAGCTTCCAAAAACTATTTTAGATAGTTATCAATGGAAGTCAAATGATCTCATTTGCTTTCTTTGTGAGCTTAAAACAGACAAATCTTGGCTGTGGATTGTTTGGAAAACTATTTGAAAATAAGAAACGCTGAGATCCTTCCTTCTTCCTCGGCCTTCCTTCTTTGCCCTCCTATTATGTCCTTCTATTGCAACTCTGTCTTCACCAAAATAATTAGATAAATAATTCACACTCATATCTCAGAAAAAATGAATGTAATTTTTCTGAAAGGGCATATGCGTGTATTTGCCAGCTTAACAAATAGAAAAGTCTTTGAATTTCCTTAAATATATCTTTATTTTGACAGTCCAACAGTGCCACCTACTTTAGTAAAGCATGACTCATTGATCTATGAAAAACCTTTTGTGGATTTGTACCTTTGCACTATAACATATGATTTGTAATCATTTTTTATCCTGAGGATCCTTTTCTTTGTTTTCCCCTTCTCTTCACGTTTTCAGTATTATACATGCTATAAAGAAAGGAGGGACAATCATAAAGGGCCTGGTAGATACCAGGTTAAGAAATGAGAGTGTTGTGTCTCTCTTTTGACTTTGCTCAAATCAAAGCTGGAGATATGAAGTGGGGAAAGTGGAAAGGAAGAGTGCAAATGATAGAAATAAAATCTGCCCCCCACAGTTTCTCTCTTATTCTCTCTCTCTCTCTCTGTCTCTCTGGAATCTTATCTATACGAATAGACCTCCTGCTTAATGGGATTAATTAGACCATTAGTCCCATTCAATTGTTATTTTTCTTTTCTTTGTAAAGTTATCCTTCCTAAATCTCTTTTCTCTCAGCAGCATAAAGGACACCCTGCTTCGGATGAAATTGCTGCACAACATTAAATATCCTCATCAATGAATACTTGTATTTTTCCAAGTGTCTCCTAAACCAGATAGTAATTGTAGATAGCCATTCACTTTTACTGCAATGTTTAGGTAAATGGGGGATTGTCTTAAAGTAGATTTCTTTTTCTTTGACAAGCGTTTTGATACAGTTCAAGCCAAAGACACAACATCAAAAATTTCACAGCTATGAAAACTAGTATTTTATAAACAATAGTAAAATTTGAACCAACGCTGTATGTAAACAAAAATGTGCTATGTTAGTTGATTATACATGGTGAACCAATATATCAAGTATCGCACATAAAGTCACTACTCTACTGTACTATAAATTTTACATATTTAAGGATAATATGCTAACCATTATAAATAATTAATTAAGAAACTTTTCCTCTTGATTTTTAGAAATTAAAAAGGTTTGGAGCCTAATGTGATACCATCCTTTTCTCTTTACTTTTCCCTCATAACAAGAAGATAAATTTTAAATGATGCTATTGTTTCCATAGTAGCATTCCCAAGTTGGGATTATTCTTTCTATACCATCCCACTATGCCTCACTAAGCCATTTAAATGAGTTCATGGCTGAGAATTTAAAAACTGAACTCTTGAGTCTTTACTATTTCCCCCCCTACTTTTCTATCTTTCAAAATTAGCCTCAGTTTATGCCTGATGATGTCTTTCTCTCTCTCTCTCTCCTCTCTTTCTCCCCACTGTCTCTCTTTCTCTATGTTTATGTTTATGCATATTAATGCTATCTTTATCATCTATTTTCACTTGCGATTTCTTTTGTTTGGAGAATGAATTTTATGGACACCCTCGTTAGCAAGAAAAATAATCTGTGTCTGGAGTTCTTGTAGTTTGAGGATAGCTATGACAGTTGATGCTTATGAATTATTTGTTTGCATACAACCATGAAAAGTTTTTTTAAGTAACTATATTATAGTCACTTCCCCCTCCTCCCACATCTTCCTTGAGTCATTGTCCAAAAACCTAGCACATTATTTCATCAAATGGAAAAATTAATAAGTAATAAATAAACTTGTTAAAAACCACACAAAATAGCAACTGTCCAGATTAATATATGCTGCATCTGGTGTGATAAGCTATATAGTTCCCATACTTCTTATTTAGGGTTTTAGTTAACTACCTAGTTATGTCTTAATTAACCTAATAAAACACAAGCTTTAAAGAATTGCTTTCTTGATCCCGACTTGATTTTTTCTGAAGATACATCCTAATCACTTTTTCCTTGTTGTTTTGTTTTAATACTCCTTAACTTAAAAACATGTTTTTTTCTAATTCAAATAATTCCTGTAACAATTTATTGTAAAGTTTACATCCCTTCTATCTATTTCTTAATCTGCCATTTTATTTTTTTAATTTTTTTATTGTGGTAAAATATACATAATATAAAGTTTACTGTTTTAACCATTTTTAGGCATATGTTTCAGTGGCATTAAGTATATTCATATTGTTGTTCAACCATCACTAGCAGCCATCTCCAGAACTCCTATGTCATCTCAAACTGAAACTCTATCTCCTCACCCAGCCTCTGGTATGTACTATTCAACATTCTGTCTTGGTGAATTGGACTGTTCTAGGTACCTCATAGAAGTGGAATCATGCATTGTTGTCTTTTTATGGCTTATTTCCCTTAGTATAATATCTTCAAGATTTATCCACACCCTAGCATGTACCAGAAATTCATTCCTTTTAAGGCTAACATTACATTATATGCATACACCACATTTTATCTATGCAACCATTTACAGACATTTGTTTCCAACTATTGGCTATTGTAAATAATGCTGCTAGAAACATGACTGTACAAATACCTATTTGTGTGCCTGCTTTAAATTATTCTGTGTATATGCCCAGAGACATTTTTATCTATGCAACCATTTACAGACATTTGTTTCCAACTATTGGCTATTGTAAATAATGCTACTAGAAACATGACAGTACAAATACCTGTTTGTGTGCCTGCTTTAAATTATTCTGTGTATATACCCAGAGATGGAAATGCTGGATCATATGGTAATTGTGTATTTAACTTTTAAAGAAATAGTCATACTGCCTACCATGATAACAGGCTCACACCTGTTATCCAGGAACTTTGGGAGGCCAAGGTGGGTGGATCACCTGAAGTCAGGAGTTCGAGACCAGCCTGGCCAAACATTGCAAAACCCTATCTATACTAAAAATACAAAAAATTAGCTGGGTGTGATGGTGCAGGCCTGTTGTTCCAGCTACTAGGGAGGCTGAGGCAGGAGAATGGCTGAACCCGAGAGGCAAGAAGTTGCAGTGAGCTGAGATCATGCCATTGTACTCCAGCCTGGGCAAAAAGAGTGAAACTCCATCAAAAAAAAAAAAAAAGAAAGAGAAAGAAAGAAAGAGAAAGAAGGAAGGAAGGAAGGAAAAAAAGAAAGAAAGAAAGAAAGAAAGAAAAAGAAAGAAAGAAAGAAAGAAAAAGAAAGAGAAAGAAAGAAAGAAAAGAAAGAAAGAGAGAAAGAGAGAAGAAAGAAAGAGTCACACTGTTTTCCACAGAGGCTGCACCATTTTACAATCCTATCAGCAATGCTTAAGGGACCTAATTTTTTGCCTTCGTCACCAACACTTGTTATTTTATGTTTTGCTTTGTTTTACAATAGCCATCCTAATGTTGCGAAGTGGTATATCATTGTGGCTTTGAATTGTATTTTCTTAATGACTGGTGATGGTGACCATCCTTTTATGTGCCAATTACGTGCTTCTGGCCAATTGTGTACTTTACTCATTCTTCTTTTTATTACCAAAACTTATGAAATATCCATATATATTCTGTTCCCGTTTTTTGCAAAACTTTTTCAACTTTTCTAAACCCTCCCTCACACACATTCTTATATTCCATAAATTTATTTAAGAGTATCAATATTATATTATCCTTTGTGCCAATGCCAATGAAAATTTTTAGTTGATGCCATACCTTTGTAAAATGGGACAGCGATAGATGGTGTATGACACTGTATCTTCCTTGTGACAATCAGTTGTTATCTTACCTCTTTGGCTGCTTCTGTCTCCCTGTCCCACTTTTTCTTTTCGTCCCTCCTACTAATTGTATCCTATGTGGATACTTCCAAATGATCTACCTACTGTAAGTTTTCTTTTAGATCTCCTAATTCTCTTTCTTCATAGAATTACCCAAACTCACTATTTGTGTAGACAATAGTTGTTATGATGGGCCAATGACTTTCTCCAGCTTTGGCAACTTGTTGAATGCTGTATATAGATGCTTCTCTCTTCTGAACATTTTTGCCTCCCTCTACCCCTCCCTATTCTGCCTTGTCATAAACTGCCTAGAATTCACTGCCATCACATTTTCCCTGATCAGGCAAGGCTACGTTTCCCCGTACTTGTTTTAATTAATATCCAAATACTAGGTTACTAATACAAAATTATTAGTTCCTGTTTAGATGGATATATTTTACATTAGATCATTGATAGAAGGAGCTTGTGCCTTATTAATCTTTATTTTCCCAGAGCATACCATGGTACCTCTCACATAATATGCCACAATATTCATTTATGGTATAAGTGAATAAGGAACCTGTGCCCAAATACTGTTCCTCCTTTAAAACTATGTACTGGGATGTTCATTCTGGAATGGTTCACTAACACTTCAAACCAGGTGGATGCTACAAATGGAAGAAAGTACCTTCTCTTCAAAATCTGTTCCTCCTTAGCTATTTGCCTTTTGTGCTACTATTAGCTTTATTGCCCTGGAATCCTAAGGGAAAAAATCTCCATCTTCCTTACTTTCATCTGCCCCATTCACATTTACATATTAAAATTTGATATGTCGTATCAATGCAACCTTCATAATGTTCCCTCACTTTACCTCTGCTCTCCATTCCCTTGGCTTCCATTTTCATTTCAGTAGCTCATATGTATTTTGTCTGGATTAATTGAACAGCTTTCTTTATTTTATTTTATTTTATTTCATTTTATTGTACTTTAAGTTTTAGGGTACATGTGCACAATGTGCAGGTTTGTTACATATGTATACATGTGCCATGCTGGTGTGCTGCACCCATTAACTCGTCATTTAGCATTAGGTATATCTCCTAAAGCTATCCTTCCCCCGTCCCCCCACCCCACCACAGTCCCCAGAGTGTGATGTTCCCCTTCCTGTGTCCATGTGTTCTCATTGTTCAATTCCCACCTATGAGTCAGAATATGTGGTGTTTGGCTTTTTGTTCTTGTGACAGTTTACTGAGAATGATGATTTCCAATTTCATCCATGTCCCTACAAAGGACATGAACTCATCATTTTTTATGGCTGCATAGTATCCCATGCTGTACATGTGCCATATTTTCTTAATCCAGTCTATCATTGTTGGACATTTGGGTTGGTTCCAAGTCTTTGCTATTGTGAATAGTGTCACAATAAACATAAGTGTGCATGTGTCTTTATAGCAGCATGATTTATAGTCCCTTGGGTATATACCCAGTAATGGGATGGCTGGGTCAAATGGTATTTCTAGTTCTAGATCCCTGAGGAATTGCCACACTGACTTCCACAATGGTTGAACTAGTTGACAGTCCCACCAACAGTGTAAGTATTCCTGTTTCTCCACATCCTCTCCAGCACCTGTTGTTTCCTGACTTTTTAATGATTGCCATTCTAACTGGTGTGAGATGGTATCTCATTGTGGTTTTGATTTGCATTTCTCTGATGGCCAGTGATGGTGAGCATTTTTTCATGTGTTTTTTGGATTCACAAATGTCTTCTTTTGAGAAGTGTCTGTTCATGTCCTTTGCCCACTTTTTGATGGGGTTGTTTGTTTTTTCCTTGTAAATTTGTTTGAGTTCATTGTAGATTCTGCATATTAGCCCTTTGTCAGATGAGTAGGTTGCAAAAATTTTCTCCCATTTTGTAGGTTGCCTGTTCCCTCTGATGACAGGGATGCCCTTTCTCACCACTCCTATTCAACATAGTGTTGGAAGTTCTGGCCAGGGAAATTAGGCAGGAGAAGGAAATAAAGGCTATTCAACTAGGAAAAGAGGAAGTCAAATTGTCCCTGTTTGAAGACGACATGATTGTATATTTAGAAAACCCCATCGTCTCACCCCAAAATCTCCTTAAGCTGATAAGAAACTTCAGCAAAGTCTCAGGATACAAAAATCAATGTACAAAAATCACAAGCATTCTTATACACCAATAACAGACAAACAGAGAGCCAAATCATGAGTGAACTCCATTCACAATTGCTTCAAGGAGAATAAAATACCTAGGAATCCAACTTACAAGGAATGTGAAGGACCTCATTAAGGAGAACTACAAACCACTGCTCAATGAAATAAAAGACGATACAAACAAATGGAAGAGCATTCCATGCTCATGGTTAGGAAGAATCAATGTCATGAAAATGGCCATACTGCCCAAGTTAATTTATAGATTCAATGCCATTCCTATCAAGCTACCAATGACTTTCTTCACAGAATTGGAAAAAACTACTTTAAAGTTCATATGGTTCCAAAAAAGAGCCCGCATCGCCAAGTCAATCCTAAGCCAAAAGAACAAAGCTGGAGGCATCACACTACCTGACTTCAAACTATACTACAAGCCTACAGTAACCAAAACAGCATGGTACTGGTACCAAAACAGCATGGTACTGGTACCAAAACAGAGATATAGGTCAATGGAACAGAACAGAGCCCTCAGAAATAACGCCGCATATCTACAACTATCTGATCTTTGACAAACCTGAGAAAAACAAGCAATGGGGAAAGGATTCCCTATTTAATAAATGGTGCTGGGAAAACTGGCTAGCCATATGTAGAAAGCTGAAACTGGATCCCTTCCTTACACCTTATACAAAAATTAATTCAAGATGGATTAAAGACTTAAACGTTAGACCTAAAACCATAAAAACCCTAGAAGAAAACCTAGGCAATACCATTCAGGACATAGGCATGGGCAAGGACTTCATGTCTAAAACACCAAAAGCAATGGCAACAAAAGCCAAAATTGACAAATGGGATCTAATTAAACTAAAGAGCTTCTGCACAGCAAAATAAATTGAACAGCTTTCTAATTATTCTTTTACATCTCACTTTTTCTAAATCATCAAATTTATTTCTCTTATCAAAACAATTACCTCCTGCTCAAAAATCATGTGTGGTTACCTACTTCTCCTCAAAAATAATCCAATTTCTTTACATGTCATCCTAGCCCACTACATTCCTCCGCCACACAATGTGGTCAAAACTGTTCTTCCCCAATCTGAATTTCCACCAATCTAATTCAAGTACTCCTTGAAGTACTCACGTTCTGGAATATTGTTTCGTATGTGCTTTTGCTTACATTCAGATGGGATGCCTCCCCCCTTGCCAGATGTCCAAAGTACCCACCTTTGTGCATAAAAATCAAATATATTTTTCATCTCTGAAAATTTCATGATTTTCCATTCAGCTGCAAGCTAGCATTAAATGCATTTTCTTCTGAACTCCCATTCGGTTATTCTGTGCCTCCATTATTACATTTGGCAAGTTACAGTGTAAGTTTTTCTTATTTGTGAACATGCCATTTTCTTATACATAGTATTGTAAGTTTCTTATAGACAGAATCCTAGGGTCATTTATCTTGTGCTCCCTCATGATAAATTACACAGGAAACTATCATACTGAATTACATTTTTTTTTGTTGAAGCTCAGTGATTATTTCTTACACAAATCAATGAATGGATAAATAAAACTTTATTTATGGTTACACTAAATTTTTTTATTTATACGTAAAGAAAAAATATAATTACTTTTTGAAGTTTCCCTGAATCTTTTCTTAGAAACTGCCAGGAAACCATCAATCGAGTCATCTGAAACCTCTGATCTGTTGGTTACTGTTTCTCCCTACGTTAAAACATAGATATTCCTAGTCTGCAGATAATTAAGAATTATTCATTACAAATATATTCTTCCATGAACTCACACAGGCTTATTCACTGTAATTGCTTTTTATTTTTCCTGAGCATTTCCAAGGTAGCCTTTCTCATTTAAAGTTCTGTTTCCTTGGGAATTAATGACTGTCCACTGTTGCCCAGCAATAGAATGTGCATAGCCGTATGCTGTATTTATATAGCTATTCAAAAATGTGTCTTAGGTTACCTTATCATTGACTCACAAGGCCTGTGAACAAAGTCTTGATTACTTTGTGGAAATATTTATGAGTGCCCTTTCCTTCCTCCCACATTTTTTTAAGTAAAATATACTACTATGGGAGGTACAGGGAATGGCTGTCAAAATTATGCAGCAACCTGAAGTTCTCGATAGTTTATCTTATTCTATAAACTGAAATAAAGAATTCATGCATTCACCCAAATGCCAGGACAAGAATAGCCACAGCATTAACTCCTAAGACAATTCTAGTTTTTGAGGCTTAGGTGCTTTTCCTAAGTCAGTGTGAGAAATCAGCATGTTTTATCACAATTTAACTTTTTCTCAAATCTTCAATATTATAGGTCTTGCTTTTCTCTCTAGAGAGTGGGCTTCTTTGAGATCAGGAAAGAGCATTGGTCCCTATTGTTTCCCAATTATACACTACAAAAGAAATTCCAAGATCAGCTAGAGGTTAAAAAGGAGGTACTCCCTGATTTTAGTTGTGATTATGTATATTAAACATCAAAATCTTTTTCTATACTCTCTGTGCTTGTAACTGAAGTAAACTATCAAATGTTTTAACTATGTAAATGCTTCATCAATTATTTTTGTCTCCCCAGCAATATTTGTAAATTTGATTTTATGGGAATGTTCATTTATTCATGACCCAAATGTTTATTGATTAATGAATAGCCTAAGCAAATGAGGTACCAACGGAAATGTCACAGTATTGTATATAAAAGGAGGTAAAGAGGGGACCCCAGATAAAAGGCATGGCATAACAATGGCAGGGGTTGGAGCTCTGAGCCAGATTAAGCTTTATATCACAAGGAAGCAGAACAGGCTACATAAGACTTTTTTTATTTATTTATTTTATTTTTTACAAAATCAGGATTCCATATGTTAAGCTGACTTCTGAGTGAGAATATAGCTTTATGGATCAAGGACATTCCCCTGTCAGTCTTCTACTACTAGGGCAAGCCTGACTTCCAATTAAGAGAAACTGACACCTGAAGAGTTAGATACACACTGTGGGTGTCATCTTAACATGCACAACCTGCCTTGACATCAACTGTGATTTTCATCTACGTTCTTAAGTATGGAATCAAGTGTCTGTACACAAAATCCGATTCACTCAAGCATCACCTCAGCATTCTATAATTAAAATTTTCCAATTAAAGTAAACATTAAATATGAAAACTCAGTAACTCTACCAAATTATAGTGTTCATTAACCCCAAATACAATTTTAGAAACACAATACTTCTAAGCTGTAGTCATGCAATTCTGAAAACATTTGAGAATTTTTTTAAAGAATATTTTGAAAGAAATTGATTAGACAAATGAATTACCTACATTATTATCCAGTATGTTTGATGATTTTAGTAGGATAATGCACCTAAGGTGAAACATGTTCATGCATGATATTAAAATGCTAAGGAATCAAGAAATTTTAGGTATTTAGGTTTGATACAACATACCACATTTTAAGAAATGTAAGTGATCTACTTTTCATCTTTTTTTGGAGGCCTTTATACGTTATAATATATCGTAACAAGGCAATGTGGTATTACAAAACAACTAGACACTAGCAACATAGAATAACATTCTATGCATGGCAATAGAATGCTAACAGCATAAGATAGTATTTAACTAGTAAGTTGATTTGTTTTTTGTTTGTTTGTTTGTTTTTGAGACGAAGTCTTGCTCTGTCACCCAGGCTGTAGTGCAGTGGTGCGCTCTCGGCTCACTGCAACCTCCACCTCCTTTGTTTAAGCAATTCTCCCGCCTCAGCCTCCCAAGTAGCTGGGATTACAGGTGCGCACCAGCACACCCAGCTAATTTTTCTATTTTTAGTAGAGATAGGGTTTCACCATGCTGGCCAGATTGGTCTTGAACTCCTAACCTTGTGATCCGCCTGCCTTGGCCTCCCAAAGTGCTGGGATTACAGTCGTGAGCCACCACATGCAGCCTGTAGGTTGATTTGTATGACATCTTATTCTTTGAAATTTTTCCTAATGTTCAGCAGTTAGAAGAATTGCACATGACAAAAGACTATCATAAGCTTATGTGATGTTTAAAAACCACTTTACACTGGATCTAATTTACATATGACATCATTGAAAGTAATTTTTGAATTACATGCACTTAAAAATGCTGATTCTAAAAATGCAGTTGATGAGGGTTTTTCAATTTCTCTTTATCTGTGATAATTCTTATTTACAAAATCCATGCACTTCAAGGGCTCCATTCCAAAGTGTGTATGAGTCTCCTCGTTTTTTAGAATATAAAGTTACAAGCTACAAATGAAAATTTGTTTTGACTCTCTGCCATGTTTTTGGTGCTTTAAATATATTTTCATAATACTTATAGAAATACTCCTGCAAGTGAAAACTATGTGTAACCCAATGAGATTTAATTTATCTGTCAACTTTCTAATCTACCACACTCATAAAAAGTTAATGCTAGTTTTGGTTGATGCTTTATTTTTCAATGCATTAGGATAGATAAGGCATGTTTTGGAAAATGTTGAATATTTAGCAACAAGACATGAAGCAAATATGTTATGAGAAGATAATATATAGCCATAATAATCACTGCACGCTTGAAAGCATGTTCTGCCCTGTGTTACTTGGCAACCCACAACCGATGGTTATGAAGACAAGCAGAACTTAATTAGACATGTAGAACAAATGTGATTTTAAAATAGCAACAAAAATCACTTTGGTAGTACAGTGATTCCAAAAGAATATTTAGATACTGAAGTATAAAGAAATACAAGAAATCCATGAAGCCATCACTGGAGAAGGTTTTAAAATAGTGGAACACTGTTTTACCTGGGAAAGAAAAATTTAGAGCAACAGAGACACTGAAAGTGTAATAGTCACCAAAGTTCCTCAAGACTAGAGCAGATTGCTTCAGGCTCTCTTTACAGCAGGAAATCAGAAAGTGCAGAACAATGAGGAAAAAAAAACAGTATGGAATAAATAAAATTCAATTATAAACTTTTTAAATGAGTCATGATAGATATGGTTTTATGTACACTCACTATTGCTCTGTTCTCCTACTTCCAGAAAAGCTTAACACTAAACCTATGCTGTTATTTTAAAAGCTCCCATTCCATCGCTAGTGTATAGCCATGCATGCAAAGCACTTGAGCACAAACAAATTACAAGAGGCCAGGCGCGGTGGCTCATGCCTGTAATCCCAGCACTTTGGGAGGCTGAGGCGGGCGGATCACCTGAGGTTGGGAGTTCGAGACTAGCCTGGCCAACATGGTGAAACCCCGTCTCCACTAAAAATACAAAAATTAGCCAGGGTTAATGGCACATGCATATAATCCCACCTACTCGGGAGGCTGATGCAGGAGAATTGCTTGAACCCGAGAGATGGAAGTTGCAGTGAGCAGAGATTTTGCCATTGCACTCCAGCCTGGGCAACAGAGTGAGACTGTGTCTCAGAAAAAAAAAAAAAAAATTTAATTCATGTTACACATCATCAAGTTTCTGCAACTAAGGGAGAACTTATAAGTAAGTGTCTCATATGTTTCCTTTTATTATATTATTCATATTATGCTTTCAGAGAAATATCCAGATGTAGGCGATCAAACCCTGATGGAGTTTTCAATCTTATGCCATGTTATGTTATTGGACTTTGAGAAAATACCTTTTCTTTACACTTCCTTCTCCTCTCTGGGTAAGTTTCAGGAACATCCCCTTCTAAATGTCAGGTGTCCTCCCTTGGGGAAAAATGTATTATGTTGTCTTCACAGAACATAAATAGTTTGATATTCTATTTAATTTGGGGTGATTATTTTGGTGTGCTTTTGGGGAGTTCTAGCCCTGAAGGATAAAAATGGTGTATACATTCTCTGTTCTATACCAGCAAAGTTCTTTCTGAGTTTTATTTGTTTGATTACATATTGTATTACAGGAACCAAACTCAGGAATACTTCAGGTAGGTGGGTTATGGGTATAAAATGAAAAGTTTGTCAATAGTAGTGTGCCCAAGAAGGAAATCATGCCAAACAGTAATAAGCAGTGTGTAGGAAACTGTTTCAAAATTACAGTTGATCCATGAACAACTCAGGTTTGAACTGCATGGCTCCACTTATACGCGGATTTGTTTTTCAACCAAACATGGATCAAAAATACAGCATTCACGAGGTGCGGAGCAAGCATATGCACAGGGTAACTTTCAGACACGTGGGTTCCCCAGGACCAACTGTGAGACTTCTGTATGCACATATTTGGGTATACGTGGGTGATCCTGGAACCAATACCCCATGTGTACTGAGGGACGAATATAGTTATTTGTAGCCTTACATTCTTTTAGCTTCATATCAGAATTTTTATAAAACTAGATGTCCTCCTTCTAGAAAATAAGGAGATAATAAATTACAGTGACTTATCTCCCCCTTACATCCAAATTCAGTCTATAATAGTTGGAAGGCAATTTTTGATATCATCTAATCCATTTAATTGATTTTGAAACTAAGGTTCAAAAAAGCGTGGTGACTTGTGCAAGGTTATACAATTTGGTAAGTGGTAAATTAAAGATAGAAAGTTAAGATTTCTTAACTTTGGTCATATTTTTTTTTCCCTCTTACATTTAACTACTGTTTAAACTGTGTACCTTTGGTTTAGGGTAAAATTCTAGATTAAAAAAATACTTCTTTTTTTTTTTTTTTCTACGATAATGTCCAGGATAAGTAAGAATAAAGAATCTGGGAATTCAGTCCGTAATTTTCTTGCAGCAAGCAATAGATTGCACTTTCTCTTCTTCCTATGCCAGAATGCACTACAGATGCTTTTATCATGCAGACAAAGACTAATGCCAATCACATGGTTGCTGGAACATATTCTGCCATATCAATCCTTATAGCCTAGGAACCAGTCTCATTTCCTATGACACAAATTCATTCTCTAATTATTTACAATTCCATTTTCCCCAATTTATGTCTGAAAAAGAGTTTATTCCACAATCCTCAGGTACAATTTATATTCCACTAAATTGGAGGTTTGTGAATGAAGCTTTAAACAAGCACACCACCTGATTCTGACGGAAAGTAAAACTGAGGACTACTATGTAGGGGCTTATGTGAATGATAAGGAAAAAGTCAACATGAATGAAAGAACCATAGGAAAAGACCACTCAACTTGAAGATTATTTTTCTCATTGATGTATCAGTCTGCTAGGGCAGATAATGAAGAGATCACGAGTGTGAGTGATGGACCATTATTGTGAGAAAAATTTGCCAATTACAGCTGTATGTCCAATCAAAGGAATACATACTAAAAACTCTTAGAAATAGGAACACTTTTACACTGTTGGTGGGACTGTAAACTAGTTCAACCATTGTGGAAGTCAGTGTGGCGATTCCTCAGGGATCTAGAACTAGAAATACCATTTGACCCGGCCATCCCATTGCTGGGTACATACCCAAAGGATTATAAATCATGCTGCTATAAAGACACATGCCCACATATGTTTATTGCGGCACTATTCACAATAGCAAAGACTTGGAACCAACCCAAATGTCCAACAATGATAGACTGGATTAAGAAAATGTGGCACATATACACCATGGAATACTATGCAGCCATAAAAAATGAAGAATTCATGTCCTTTGTAGGGACATGGATGAAACTGGAAACCATCATTCTCAGCAAACTATCACAAGGACAAAAAACCAAACACCGCATGTTCTCACTCATAGGTGGGAATTGAACAATGAGAACACATGGACACAGGAAAGGGAACATCACACTCCGCAGACTGTTGTGGGGTGTGGGGAGGGGGAAGGGATAGCATTAGGATATATACCAAATGCTAAATGACCAGTTAATGGGTGCAGCACACCAACATGGCACATGTATACATATGTAACAAACCTGCACATTGTGCACATGTATCCTAAAACTTAAAGTATAATAATAATAAAAAAAATCCAACTGGAACTCTATACAAAGATACTGGCACACTACTAGCATTTCCAACATCTTTCCTATCACTCTAAACATAAAAGGTAAAACTAATAGCAGAAAAAAATAACTTGACAGTCCAAATTCTCTGAAGGTTAAACAAAAGCAATTAAGAAAATTTGAAATGAATATAAAGTAAACATTAATTATGGAGTAGAGTCATGGATTAGTATACTTTATATATTGCTGTAGAATGGAGTACATTTTAAGGAAGAACAAATTCACTGAATGTTTAGAGATCTATATCAACCCATTTACCTCAGTCTGGGAATTCTTCACCTCTATATTTGGCAGAAATGTTATGCTGTTCTAGTGTAATGAGTGTATACAATTACTTTTCAAAAACAAAATTTAACTCACTGTACTAATACTTTTATAGATATACGAATATTCTGATATGTTAATTATAGATAAATTAACTTTCAACCCAAACTTATAAATCAAATACTTATTTACCTGATATTCTAGAATAAATATCTAGACATATTTAATAAGATCTATTTTCTTATAGAATAAATTTAATTAGACAGACATCAAACAAGTCACATTGACTTCTGTAGAATGGGTACATTTTAAGGAAGAACAAATTCACTGAATGTTTAGTGATCTATATCAACCCATTTACCTCAGCCTGGGAATTCTTCACCTCTACATTTGGCAGAAATGTTATGCTGCTCTAGTGTAATAAGTGTATAAAATTCCTTTTCAAAAACAAAACAAAATTTAACTCACTGTACTAATACTTTTTTAGATATGTGAATATTCTGATGTTAAATATAGATAAATTAACTTTGAACCTAAACTTA
The DNA here is from genome assembly GCF_000001405.40 of Homo sapiens. NCBI lineage: Eukaryota > Metazoa > Chordata > Mammalia > Primates > Hominidae > Homo > Homo sapiens. The sequence continues at coordinate 85,096,156 of NC_000003.12, read as the reverse complement.
TAAATCAAATACTTATTTACCTGGTATTGTAGAATAAATATCTAGACATATTTAAAACAGCCTATTTTCTTATAGAAGAAATTTAATTAGACAGACAGACAAGTCACATTGACTTCTCCCCTCTAGAATTTTTACTATTTTAGTGGCAGCATAGAGTTTATGACTCAAGAAACCCTAGAGACTTGGAGCTTGGGAGTCCTTCAGCGAGCATCCATCTCAACTGCACAACATATCACAAGCAGAGTAAGTAAGGCTGAGACTTTAAATGACTGTTGTGCAATGTCATAATTGGGCCTGTGAGTTAATGTCCGCCACTTGCCTGTCAGACCAGGGCTTCCCAGATGTGCTCAAGAAAATTTCATGCTACAGAGTATAGAAAAAAATTAGAGATGTGTTCACTGGTGGAATAATTATGGAAAACTAAATTAAACCAATTTGAACATATTTCTCTAGTAGGAATTTTCAAACAAAATGTTTGGGCCAAAGAAGCCTTAGGTTATTAGTTGTATACTAATATGTATTTAGGGAAAATATCCTTTTAAGATTTTGGTTTTTCTAAGTATATCATAAGTTCCTTTTAAGTGAGTACTATCCATCCCCCACAATACCTAGTAATGTGTCTCATAAGTATTTGTTTAAGGATCGGTAATATAGTATTAAGCACATAACCAATTATACAATTGAGCCAGAGGTCTAGATGTTTAAAAAGTGAAACAATAGGAGAATGTTTCATAGTTTCTTTCTGAGCCTACTGCACAAATAATATGACCCATCTGAGTCAGCCTAGAATTGTGACTGCCTAGCTCTGAATAATTGGACCACCTCATGAGATACATACTTGAGAAGTCCCACTTTAGACCATTTTCTCTCAATCTCCTAGAGTCCCATTAATTGCTTTTCTAATGACTGCGGGGGCAAAATTTTGTTGTGTATGCACATCTCTAGATTTTACAAGAACATAAAGGAATGAAATTCCATCTCTCCAGTCTTTCCATTTATAAATTAAAACGTTTGAACAATTACTTTGGAAAACCACTTGTAATTTGTAAAGGTATTGATAGACATCCATTGGGTATGAGTTTCCATATTCTATAAATAATTTATTGAGAAAAGATAAATAGTTCCAACAAAGTTCAAAGAAAGTACTATCAAAAGATTATTGTTCAGTAAGTCAAGAATTCATATACATGGTCCTTTCGGAGACTGGCACATATTAATGCTTAATTTATGTTGGAAGCTAATATCTGATTTTAAAAACATTCTCATGTGAACACTGGCTTCTTATTTAAAAAAAAAAGTGAAGAGCCAGCTCTTCTGGATAGTGCATTTGATAAATTAGTTAATATGGCTTTCCAACCTTGTACCACTAGGGATAGTGTTATCATTTAAACGTATCTTTGAGCAAAAGTATGCACTTGGTACAAAGTTATTATAATTCCCAAAAAGAAAAGTCAGTGATTGCATGCAAAACATGCGTTTCATAATGAAGCTGTTGACCAATATTTGCATAATGTATCCTTGTTTAATATTTTTCCAGTTTATATTGAAAGTTATCATCATTTTAAAGAAAACTCAGTAGAATTACCAACTCATAATCAGGAAGAAAAATGTCCTTTAAGGTGTTCATTTTTATTTTACATTTCCCCTGCAATAAACCACAGCAACTTTGCTCTTTACCACCTCTTACTTCTGCTTTATACATGCAGTTATGTGGTGATGTGTATTTATATATCTGCATGCATGTATATGAATAAATATACATTTATAAAATGGTTGGTCAGCAGAAAGGAAATAAATTTAACGTCGTGAAAGGACAATATTAGTAGCTGAATACAGGCCTTAACCCATTGTTTTGACCTCATTAAAAATTATTTATTAGGTAATTATTATTATAAAGGTATGATGATAGCATAAATTCCTAGGAGGAATTTATTTATAAAATAGTTTTCAAATACATGTTTGTTTCCTATTGTAACTGAGAGAGAAAATACAAACATATTCTAGTCTTTTCACAGTTCTACATTGTATTGGCTCGGCTGAGAAGTGTGAGTAAATGTAGGACTCTACTTTAACAAACTTGGCAGACCTCAAATTTGCCTCATTATATTTCAATTTCATTTTAAATGGAAACCTATTACACTAGTGTACAAATGGGGATATCACTTAGAGATTCATCTCAGGAACTGCCCTAGAAGCACCTCTCCTCCCACCTAGCTTTGCTAATTACCTTACCTTCAATCTTTTACCTGTCAGCCATCCCACAGGAATGGACTCCTTCCCACCCTCCCCCAATCATCAACTCCTCTCCCAGCACACAGCACACTTATCCTCCCCAAGCAAAACGACTATCTGGAAAACCTGTCAAAATCTTAAAATAATAACACTTTCCCTCTCTTAGAGTACAGTGGATGTAGGACTTAATGTAGATATTTGATATGCAGGATTTTTATTTAAAAGAGTTTGTAATAGCCATAAGAGCAATACTTTGGGCTAGTGCTCGGAAATATTATTTTATAGAAATAGAAAAATATTTTCTAAATTTGATTATTTGATTTTCCCTTAATCAATAGCTTACAAATCTCATATAAATTTATAATGAAATCATCATAAAATTTAACAATCAGTATGAAGATATATTTGTAAGGATGTATCTTTTTTTTTTTTCTTTTTGAGATGGAGTGGTGTGATCTCGGCTCACTGCAACCTCCACCTCCCGTGTTCAAACGATTCTGATTCTCCTGCCTCAGCCTCCCGAGTAGCTGGGACTACAGGTGTGCACCACCACGCCGAGCTAATTTTTGTAGTTTTAGTAGAGGTGGGGTTTCACCATGTTGGCCAGGATGGTCTTGATCTCTTGATCTGCCCACCTCGGCCTCCCAAAGTGCTGGGATTACAAGCGTGAGCCACCACACTTGGCCAAGGATATATCTTATCTGGTCATCTGTCTTATTATGAAAGAATGAAATTATATTTTGTGTCAGCACCAGTGACATTGTTAGTTCCTACGGTAAAAGTACAGTGTGATGATTTATATGTTAGGAATGCTGGACCTATGAATTTTGTCCGAGGACATCTGTAAATGCAGCAAATTTTAAACTGATAGAGTAAGTAGATGTTAGGGAAAGAAAGGGGAAGAATATTACAGAAAGTAGAAAAGTTTATGCAAAGTGCTGATATAACAAAAGGCATGTTATTCACGTAAAACAGGACAATAAAACCTGACAAACTGTAGATTTCAATGAGAATGACAAAGGTAAATTCAAAGCTGTAAGGAAACATCAGAATATGCACCTTGTCGTAAAGTCTGCATTACTTTCAAAGGCAGAAGGAAATCACTGGAGAGTTTTAGACCATAGAATGGCTTAAAGAATAGAGTAGCTATGTGCAGAATGAATTTGAGGTGGTGGCGGTGGTGGAAGAGAAAAGATCTGGAATTAAGGGGATCAAACTATTGGAATAATCTGTGTAAGAGGTGAGAGAGGTCTTGTTTAGGAAAAAAAGGAAGCTGAGCCACAAGATTAAAATGCAAAACTGATGAGGCTAAACTGATTTGCAATCTAAAGCTCTGTCTTTAACCATCTGCATATCTAAAGTAATGATTCTTACATTTATTCATCCATATTTATTAGACACCTGCCAGATGAGCTACTCCCATGGATCAGGAGCAGTGCTAAATGCTGAGGATGAGGTTGTGAACATGATATATATATATCTTTCTCTAAAAGAGATTGTTTCTTCTCTGGCCACAATTTGTGTTCTACATCAGTTCATCCTAAATTTGATTATGACTTAAATTTTATGTATACATTTCCAGTGAATTATATAAGTCTGCTATTCTTCTTACATAGAAGAGGAAATAAAATCTGCTTTCTGAAAATGTATTGTGGATAAATGTATCATTCATCAGTTTCATATAAGAACTTACATAAACTTAGGAAGGTTTTCCTGTAGTATTATGTCTTTGCAACTTCCATCTATCAACAAAATTCAAAAATGGTTTCCAGGACAGGGCGCATTGTTTTTATTATTTAGTGGTGGCTTCTTTATAAAGCTTTATAAAGCTACCAACAAAAGAGCGAAAGTTCTTACATCTAATAAGTATTAAACAAAATTAAAACAAAAACAATTTACTTTAAATGTTGAAGTGTTAAATTTAATTAAAATCAGGCCAGAGTTTGAATATCTAGTTACATATACAATCATTTATTCAATTGCTACAACTTTTCTACAATGAAGTGACACATTAATTATTGGAATTTGATGTTTAAATGTTTTCTCATACTTATTATATGTGACTCAGTGGCTGCAGTAAGCACTATAACCATATTTTATCAGCTAAAAATTTTAGAAATGGGTTACTATGCTTTCTACAAGACAGAGACACACTGAGAGGGGACATTTCAGATTTATATTTGAACAATTTTCAATTGTTTACCATGTATTTCTAAAGCAAATAGTTTGATTTTTAAGTTTTCAGCAGATATTTCTCAATTTAAATCTAAAAATGTTTTCTAAATATTTAAGAAACTTAGTTCAGCTCAGTTTTAATAAGTTTATTTTCAGTATACACATATGAAAGCAATTTAGAGTTGATATTTTAAAAGTGTATGGAATTTAAAATATTATTTTATTTTCAGTATCTTCAGATTATTGAAAACTATTTTTATCTTCATAATAGTGCTTCATATTTGAAATGTTTTCTACACGATATCTTACCTATGAATTAGAAGTATTATACTTCGTATGTTTAATATATAGTAAAACATGTTTTTGTTTTATGCATAAGATGTAATCCAAACTACAGCTATGTTTGCTATAAAGCTATAGGGTTTCTTTACAGATTACGCATAACTAGATCATTTAGCTGCCATTGAAGATCCGTCCAGATTTGTATATGCAGGATGTTTGTCCTTAAATATTCATAGTGCCATTCTCACTTTTCAAGTCATTGAAATTTTTACTATTTTTCGTGTCCCAGTATTTCCCTAGTAACAAATGCTACCTCTCAACCACTAACAGCTGTAAACTGATGTTTTAAAGCTTAATATGTGTAAGAATAGCCAATAGATTTAACAGTTTTATTAGGTCTGTATTGTATCCCCGCAATCTGCATTTTATCAATAACCCTAGGTTAACTGGCTGCTAGTGATATTCATTTATATTTGAGAAATACTGGCCCCACCATGCTTTAAGTCTAGAGCAGTGGTCCCCAACCTTTTTGATACCACGAACCAGTTTCGTGGAAGATAATTTTTCCACAGATGGAAAGGGGCTGGGTGAGGATGGTTTTGGGATGAAAGTGTTCCACCTCAGATCATCAGGCATTAGTGAGATTCTTCTAAGGAGTGGACAACCTAGAGCCCTCGCATGTGCAGTTGACAGTAGGGTTTGCACTTCTATGAGAATCTAATGCCGCTGCTAATCTGACAGCAGGTGGTGCTCAGGCGGTAATGCTCACTGGCCCGCCACTCACCTCCTATGTGCAGCCAGTTCCTAACAGGCCACTGACCGGTAAGGTCCACAGCCCTGGTCTAGAGCACTCTCAGATCAAATGTTAACGGTTCTTTGGTTGGAGAGCACAGAAATTGCTAGGTTTGAAGGCAGATGTTAGACAAATAGAATGTGCTCATTGGCTAAGAAAAAATATTTTGTATCTATTCTGTTATTATTATTAGTGCATAGAAAAATCTATTCATTTGTGACCCTAAAAATTACTAATAAAGCAAAAATGAAAACAAAACAAGACACAAAAACGTGTTTTTCTATGAACTTACTTCTGTAAGTGGTCATTGTCAATGTCAATACTTATCTGCAATCATAATATTAGATAGTATACATATAACTAAATTGAGAAACGGGTATGAAAAATATACTAACATAATGTAGGCATCTCCCATTTGCTCACATAAAATGAACATATCCATTGTAACTATTTTTAATATCAATATATATTATTTGGCAGAATAAAAAGTAAAACTGAGAAAGTTTTCAAATCAAGTAAATTACAACTTTTATATAAACTCATATGTTCAAAATACGCCTTTTTTTTGTATATAAATGTACTGGATGTAAATTTCTTCTGATTCCATTTAAACATAATTTCAATATTATGTCTGGAAAAAAATTTGAGATTAACTAAAAGAAGGTTAAAATGTTAACATCTAGAAATTCTGAATAATTTCACAGCACAAACAACAGCAACAAGGAAATCCAGAGAAACTTTCAGTCCCCGCCAATAGAAATGTGGTAGGAAAAAGAAATTCAATTTGTTTGGCACATCAAAATCTCAATGTAGAAAAAGGAACATTTTTCAGCATATGAAGATAAACATAGTACAAATAGAAAAGAACTGTGGGCAAGAACAACTCATGTTGTCCTATTTTACTGTGTTTTTTTGGGGGGATTAAAAATTCAAACTCAAAGCTTGTTTTTCGTACAGAAAGTCTGGAAGCCTAAAAGTAAATAGACGTACTCTAATTAAGACAAAAAATGTTCCAGTTAAAGGTTGGAAATACTTTTCAGTCCTTAAACCTGAAATATTATTTTCTAATAATTGAAATGGAAATCTCTCTGACCAGGTCTAATCCTCTAATATAAATTTAATTACGTTTATTGAAAATCATTTATGTGAGTCAAAAGTTCAGTTGATACTGAGATTTTGGACTAAACTGCTAAACTTGGACACAATCTGGTGGAAAACAGGCACTGAGGAAAGAATTTAAATGACTTGGATGTGGGGAATGAGGCATTGTATCAAGTTTAAAATACTCAAATTACTTCATTGTAGTTCTGTTGCAAAATATTCAAGAGAGAAAAATGGGGCAATTTTTCAGGGAATCAAGACTGGTCTTGAATTTCTGGAGAAGTGAATTTAATGCCAAAATTTTCTGAAAGTTATTTTTTTTAAATAAAAATGCTTGAAGAACTAACCACATTTTCAAATTCCAAAACTCTGCATTGTCAGATTTCTTCAAAATATAGAAAACCACCACAAGATTAATAGATCACTTTAGGTAGAAGACTCTAAATACTGCCGAATAAATTTTCAATTAATAGTTATTTAATATAATTATAGGAAAAGTTATTCAGCTTTAAGACTGTTTCAGATTGTCTAGAGCTCCAGATCATGAATTACTGTTTAAAGTCAACAGCAAATTCCCATGTCATCAGGTGATTCCCCTAGGTGTCTTATATACTTCCCGTGCCTACTAAACACATCTGATAATGATGACTCTGGGATTAAAATGCTATGAAAGCACACATTTAAGGTCAGCTGAGAGCATCGATGTAAATACTTCTTAATCATGAAATTATCAATGGAGATAATTATTATCTGTCATTTATATCTCTTAATAGACAAATAAAAGTAGTGTAAAGAAATAATATCTTTCTTTCTAAAGACAATTTTATGTCAAATCAGTGTATCTTAGTTTTGTTAAATAATTCATAATAGGTCTTCTTAATGTAATTTGATTATGACAATGTGAACCTTAGCTATAATTTCAAAACTCTTTATTTTTTTCTATTTCTGCTTATTTGATCCAAATAAAGACCTGCTTGCAGTTGTTTTCAGAGGCCTATTTCCTAATTAGAACCAGTTATTCTGCTCTTACTCTCTTGATTCTGAGGATATTATCTTATATGCCAGAAAAATAAAAGGTGGTTTCAGACAAACTTCATTAATAGTGCCCCAAAAGGTAGTTTTTTCAGGGTTTTAAAAGAGTTGCATACTTTTAAGTTTTGCTTATTACAAATACTATGTTTAACAGTTTATCACACCAAAATGCAATGGATGTTTATAGAGAGTTTTGAAATTTGTACAGTTGGTGTTCTAAAGGATTGTACTATAAAAGGTTTCCAAAGGTGTTCAATTCCTGAGATACATGTGCCCCAGCTGGTTTTAGGACTTGAGCCATTACTTTTTGTATAAGGAAAGCGGCAAGAACCAATATGAATTCAGTGCTTGGGCCAGCAAGCAGAATTAATCAAATCAAAAAAGTATATAGAATCTATAGACAAAGCTGTCAGAATGTAATACCAGGAAGCAAGACCTTCATTCAGGATTAGACAGAAAATTCTGTTTCATCTATTCAGTCCTCAGGCTTTTGTTTTATTATGAAATAATCATCCTTGAACAAACAAATATTTACTGAACACCATGGTGTGCAGAGAAGATGTAAACAGGAATGAGACACTGTTTCCGCAGCCAAACAGGCATTAACAGTAAATAAAATAATAGAATCAGTGCTGTAGCAGAAATATGTCAAAACTGGTAAGGGAACTTTGGAAAAAACTGGGGCAGTTTTTTAGCTGTTATTTGTGGTTGGACTTCCTTTAGGATGTGTAAGAATATATGAGGAGGTAATGTTATGCAGACACATAGAATTTCACTTCAAAAATGATGAATAGTTTTATTATCAACATGTGTGCATTCAATAAATTGTCACAAAAATATGGGAAAACTTTCAAATATCATAATAGATATAAAGCTCATTCATCAAAAAATATATTACAAATTAATTAGCTATGGCTAAGAGTAACATGTTGAAGATGAACATTACCCTTTCATTTTGCTTTATTTCTTAAAAGCCTTCTTTGTAGTAAAAATTCGAAATAAACTGAATGTGGGCAAAAAGAAACTACCATTACAACTCCATAATTTACATGGAAGGGTAATCCTGGAAGATTAATAAGTAAAATGTATAAAGCTCACTGAACATTTTTAATTTGAAGAGGAATAATTTTATTTGCTTGCCAACACATGAGCAGAATAACTTATGTCTGTTACATAATATTGTTTACATGATGCCAAATATATCCAGATGAAAAGATAAAGAATCTAAAATTAATCAGACAATTGTTTCTATCCTATACTCATTCTATAAATATCCAGGAACATGTGGGCGCCTGGCATTACGTAGCTAAAGCCCTTGAGACAGTCAGTAAACTACTCACTGACCTTTCTGTTAACCGAGATTCATGCATGCAAGGATCATCTTTTGGATCTTACAAAAGGGATTACCTTTTTCTGCTGTCATCAGAAGTTTTTGACCTTTCTGCTGCTTCCCTCAAGAAACTGCTCTAGAATTCCAATTTTATCTTTATGTTTTATGTGTACAAGCCACAGAACTCTTCTTTTTTCTTTAACTGAAGCATCATCCATTTCCTGGTTCCCAACATTTTGCACTCCTGTGATTCTCAGAAAACTGTACAAACATTTACAATGTCCTCAAATACAGACAAAATATTGCTATGAAAGCAGATGGCTACACCATATATAAAGTGCTAATAAATATCTGACCTTGGACATGCTGCGATAAATAAAATGCTGTTTACAAAGTTTATTCTGGATGGATGCGGTGGCTCACACCTGTAATCCCAGCACTTTGGGAGGCAGAGGTGGGCAGATCATTTACACTCAGAAGTTCCAGACCAGCCTGGCCAACATGGTGAAACCGTGTCTACTAAAAATACAAAAATTATCCAGGCATGGTGGTGCACACCTGCAATCCCAGCTACTTGGAGGCTGAGGCAGGATAATCACTTGAACCCGAGATGTGGAGGCTGCCGTGAGCCAAGATCACACCACCGCACTCTAGCCTGGGCAACAAAGCGAGACTCCATCTCAAAAAAAAAAAAAAAAAAAAGTTTATTCTTGTATGTTTTGATATTTCATTAGGAGATCTAAATCTATATTTTCTTTAAAAATAAACACCATCTAGTATACTACACTAGAAAGCAAATGCCTAGTCTTCTTTCCCAGTTGTGGAAAGACTGAAGTGGGAGACAGGGAGAGGCATGGAATCCATTCTATGAGCATATTTGTTGGCTTTCTTTTAGGCTTCTGACTAAAGTCTGTATTGAAATATAGAGTAAATTTTCCCTACTGGAAAAAATAATATACATAAAAAATTTAACGTACTCTTATTTCTGTATGAGCTACTTCTGAGATAGAACGCCTATTCTTGAGAATTTTTAGTAGCAGTATCTTAGTATCACATCTTAATATTTTTTTCCTATTTAGTAATGTGTTGGTATTTTTCTTACTTTAAAACTTCCACTAAAATCTGATTATAGACAGCAGAGCCTTCTTAAGTATTCTATGTGGAAATAAAAAAAGTTTTTGTCCTAAACATCTTCGTAATTTTTCAAAAAATGAAATCCAAGTCTAGACTCTTCCCATTATGACGATGTGCAGTTTTAACTCTTGTTTGCAATCACTGTGCTCACCCTGATGCCCTACCCATGAAAAATTGTTCTTTAAATACTCCCAGGTGATCAAATGTGCTGCTCATAGGCATACTGAGAAAAAAAAGCAAGGCATAAGAGAGAATTAGAATGATATAGTTTGCGGAATTAATTGATGGTTCATTTAACATGGATGGGGTCAACTCGTTATATATATTGCCTTTGCTTTGTGTAGTTTGTGTTTAAAGACAATCACACATGGATATGAAGAATTCTGGAAAGTAAAAGGCAGGATGAAACGATTACTGGGGGAAAAGCAATAGAGACTTGTAAAGAAAAACTAACTAAGAAGTGATATGCAGCAAAGTAGCACGTCTTCTTTTCTAGTAGTAATTATTCCTCCAAAGGTCTTTAAAATATCTTAAGAATAAACTAACAGGGATCGACTGAAATGTCCATCAATGATGAATGAATAAAGAAAATGTGGTGTGTACACAAACACACATACATACATATTTATATGTAATACATATACATATATATATAATTGAATACTATTGAGACTTTAAAAAAGAAAAAAATACTGTCCTTTGCAACAACAACTATGAACCTAGAGGATGTTATGCTAAGTGAAACAAGCTGGCACTGAATGACAAATACTGCCTGATCTCACTTACATGTGGAATCTGAAAGAGTCCAACTCATAGAAGCAGAAAGCAGAATAGAGGTTACCAGGAGCTAGGAGATAGAAGTAATTGGGAAGATGTTAGTAAAAGGTTACAAAGTTTCAGTTAGGCTGAAAAAGTTCTGGAAATCTATTATACAGCTTGGTGACTATAGTTGATGGTATAATTCATACCTGGAAATTGCCAACAGAGTAGAATTTAAATATTCTCACCATAAAAAAAATTAGTATGTGAGGTGATGAATATATTACTTAGCTTGATTTAATAATTTCATGAGGTAAACATATATCAAAACATTATGCTGCCTAACATAACTGTATATAATTTCTATCAATTAAACTTAATAACCTAAAAGTACTTGCTTAAAAAGCTGAAAATAATTTCAAGGGTCTCCTATCATTAAGAATCTATAAAATAAACAGAATTATACTTAAAAAAGAAAAAATCAAGAGCAACCTAATATTGAAATTTATACCTAAAATACATTGTTGATTAATCCATTCATTGAAACAAAGCTATCTAAGAAAATAGAATTTAAGCAATAAATGCTAGTCACATATATAATTTTAATTTTTTTAGTAGCCATATTCTAAACATTAAAAAGAAACAGGTGAATTTACTTTAAGTAATGTATTTTATTTAACCCAGCTTATGAAAATATTATCATTTCACCATGTAATCAGTGTAAGAGTTATGAATGTGACATTTTACATTCTTTGTTTCCTATTAAGTCTTCACAATCTCAATTTGGATTAGCCAAAGCCCCATCACTCATGTGGCTAGTGGCTACTCTATATTGGAGAACACTGGTTTACTACATTCCTATACTGAAGTTATTTTGCTTTTTTCTCAACCAACTGTTCAAGGTGATAATTGGATCTGAAAGACCCTAAAAGTAGGTGGCATTCATATGTTTCGAAGTGAACGAAGGCAGTTTACTATTCTAAAAAACAAAATGAATATTTCTTTTTGCTAAAGGCACATTTTAGCTTAAGCATTTCAGATACTCTAAGGGGAAAATAGAAAGAAACTCTGGTATACATAAAGAAATACTTCAAAGAATTATTTTGCAGTGTAAATGGTTTAAAACCAAAAGCATGGATCATGCTATTAGCATTGACTTACAACTACAGAAAAGCCTAAGGAAGTCAGAAAGCATATCAGCTCAGCAGACCAGTCACAGAAGGAGCGATGCCTTTCACATCACGCAGCTTATTTCAAAACTGAGAACTGACAACGCAAGAGTTGAAAACAGCAGGGCATATAATAATTGGGTACTTCATTGCATGCTAATGGCTAAGTCAGTATATCAGTAAAAGTATTTATGGTGGGTAGAAATGCAATCGATCATTATAGGCTTATTTTTAATGGACTATTTCTTTCTATAGGAACTTAAATTCAATGCTAACACTGTTTTCTGTTTCTGTAGAATACATGTTGTGGCTCTTTATAATATAAATCTGTGGCAGTTTGTGTTTACATGCCTCTATTTTGCTTGCTCGGTAATTCAGCCACAATAGTTAGGGTCAATAAAGAAAGACAAAAGACAAAAAAATGATCAAGGAGATTTTAAAAATATTTTCTGGAGTTAGAGAAAAACATTTTAATTATTTTATTATTGTGGCTTTTAGTTCTCCCAAAACTATATACCATAAGACAACCAATAGGGTATTCTAGAGTAGAGCATCCTTAATCGGATCTTCATTAAGGTTCATTGTCAACTTCATTGACAGCACTTCATTAAGAGCTGTCTCTCCTAAGGCTGTGATCTCTTTATATTCAAGATCATGTATGTGAAAGACGAAGATAGCATTTCAAAAGAACGGTGTGCACAATCTTTACCAAAGTTTAGGTGAAAGATGAAGGAGAAGAAAAGGTAAACTTTGTTACATGGAATAAATTCATTCTTCATGTTATATTCTTGATTGAAATTGAATCAGAATTTCCCTGAAGGCAGAGAGAAAAGTGCAGGTTAGAGCTCCCCTTTTTCATTGTTTGGGCAACACCGTTTTCACAATTTTAATTTTACCCCTTTCTGACCTTATCAAGATTAAGAGTTGACACTTATAGCCCAGGCATCTGAAAAATAAGCTTTCTTATTTAGAGGACAGACATGATATATGTATGATGTGTTTCCATAACACATGTATATAATATAATACACATATACTATGTATATAATACACATATACATATGTATATGGTATAGTACACATATACACAATATCCATATGATATGGAAACACACAGATGGCTAAAATCAACCAAATACAGCATTCTCGAAGTTGTAAAATGATATTTTAAACATGAAAACTACAACTTGGAAATTTTTTGCCTCAACATTGTTATTTTTTTAAACTTCTTCAGGACATATGCACTCAGTTGGATTTCGCTAAACAGCTAGCGTGTGTTTTAGGAAGGGATGGAGAAGCTTTGTGTTTGCTGCCAACATTGCTACACAATTCCCCATCATCAAATATGCCTTTGTTCTTTCAGATTATGTTTTTCAGACTACTTGTAATATGATGGCTCCTCATTCTGGCTTTTACTGAAAAATCATCCCACTGCACCCTTGCAATAAGACCCCTAACCGTGTGCCCTAAATTCTAGGCAACTACAAGAATACCTTCATTGTTATGTATTCAAGCACCCCGGCACCTAGTTATCAAGTCACTTCTATGTCACAGGTCAAGAAATGTATTCAGTTTCAGAAAAGTTCAGCGATTTGTGCCATTAACTGAGAGGAAAAATAACTACAAAGAGCAAAGGGCTTTGCATTTTTCAATCCGTAGTCACTGTTCTAAAGAAAGAGCATGGCCTTTAGAACTGTGAAATAACTTTGTCCTTCATAAAGAGTCGCATTATGTCCATGTATTGCAAAATAATATGCCCTGTGCATTGTAGTACAAACAAGAATCTTTCAAGCTCTTTGTAAAGTATATGTGCAGTTAAATATATTTTGCAAAAATGTAAGACATAATATGTAATAAGGTCCCAAGCAAAGTACATATCAATTTATTGGATATTACTATTATTTTCTATTCCTACCTTACAATGCTTCTTTGCTGCCTTGGATTTTCAAGACAGTATCCTAGTTTCGATGTATATACAAATATAAGGCAAATATCTGCCAAATGACAGAAGAGACGCTTGTGATCTGAATTTGTCATTTACTAATTGAGCATACGTGAGCTAATAATAACAATTTTCTATTTCTCATTTCCTCCTCTATTAAATGTGGATAATATATATGCCCCAAATAAAATAGAATGGTTTGTGAAGGAAAATGAGGTGATATTTATGAAAGTTTTTTTGATATTAGTTATCACAAACATTTCACAACTGTTCTGCATCAAGATAACAAACACTTAGCAATGATACTTGGGAACTGAATTATTTTTGGCTATGTACCTTTGTCTTATTTTCTGAAATATTTGAAAACATTCCTTCTTTATACCAAGACAGATATGCATTACAGACAATGGTATTTACTCTTTTGTAATATCCCACGTGTCAGCTTTACAGGCAGAGAGGAGAAATGCCGGCCTCTTCCTCGATGCCCTGGAGTGGAGCTGTTAGACAGAGCTGAGGAATTGGAAGATGGCCAGAAGCAGGCTGTCCTTCACCCTGTGGGACGTAACCTATCTTTCCAAACTCAAAAGGAATCACTGAGATGATTAAACCTGGAAGAGTTACTCACTTTACAATCTCCTTTGTTCTATTTAGAAAATAAAGGAAATTGTTATCCACAAAGTGTAGAAAAAGTCGTGTATTATTTTTTTGAAATAACCAGGCCAAAGTTTATGAATCTTATACTTGGTATAAACAAGGAGTGTTTCCAAATATTTCAAATATTCAAAATGAGGTCATCAGAATGGAGGACGTTGCTTCATATTATGTCTCTACCAAGTCATATGCGCTCTGAGCAGTTTTACATGAGGTAACTCATTTTAGTTTTTGATAGAAGCTAATCTCTGGGAAATTCTGAAAATGGCCCATGGTCACATAGTGGGTAGATGTTTGTCTGATTTCAATGCGTATTTGTCTGATGAAACAGACACCAACTTAACAGGAACATCAATGACTGACTATAACATAAACTTAAGATAAAATGGAATCTGATCAACATTATGAATATTTTCACTTATTATACTATATATTGAATTGTAATTTTTCATGATGAAAGAAAGCAAAAAATAAATGAATTTAGGATTATTGGAATTATAGTAACAGTTACTGATTTACAAGTAAAATAAATTGTGGGTACTGACTCAGATTCCCTAAGCTCAGAAATTTTCAGTATTTCCTCATTATTTTGGAAATATTTCTAATTTCCCTGACCTATATATGTAATGTACAGTCCTGGATTGTATTCTAATAATTAGTTTTAGTATAAGAAGGTGAATGTGTAGTGTAATTTTTAGAAACATAAATGTTGTTTCAAAATATTTTTAATTGTTTTATAAAAATAATTTAAACTACTTGAAAAAAATAATATAGGACTAAAAACATCTGGACCTAGAGGAATAATACAAGGATAGGTTTACTCAAATTTAAGTGAACAAATAAGAGGTCATCTGAGAATTACTTAATACCCAAATATGTGATAAAAATTCTCTTTTTATATGCCATAAGCATAAAGAGAGAGCTCAAATGAAGATTTTTGATATTTCAAAATATTTATATTATATCCATTGAGAAAGGAACCTGAGGTACTATTAGATTAAGATTATTATTTTGGTACTGCTACCGACAATTCTGAGCTTAATGTTGCTAATGTCTCTGATTATATGATGTATAATGTATCTGATGTCTATGACAATTGAAGGAATATGCTTGAAACTGTCTGGACTGAGATATTCAGCTTTTGTTGAATGCCTACTCCTTTTTTCAGCATTTAAATCTTCCTGACATATCGACTAAACAGAAATGATATGTATTTTCTGTTTTTGACCAAGCATGAATCCATGGTCCGCTAAAGTGACTACACAGTGAAATACTCACATAAAATAGGAGTTAAGAGGCATGTAATGAAATTTCTAAAGGTAGCCAGCTTCCTATCTATATGTAATGTTGTAAAGATTGGTCTGACCAGCTACAGAACCGACCAAGGTATAAAGAAGTACATCATTTAAGTTAATTGATATACCTGAGTTCATATCCCATTTTCAGAAATTTAAAATCCCTTCTGAGATTTCTCAAAAATAGTATTATGATATTTGTTTGAGATATTTAAGAAGTTTTTTTTCTTGACACTTCAATACTTACTATTACCTCTAAAGTTTATTTTGTGTTTTCCTTTTTCATTTTTTGGTTTCCAATAGTGTATCAAAGAGTGGAAATGTGATAGTACATCCTTCATCATCCTTCCTTCTCAAGTTCACAGTCCAAAACACTTCTATTTTAGTGATGATGTTTATTTTGCGTTCATGGTTTATGCATTATCTAAAGGGGTATTATCTGGAAAAGTAAGTCTTAATATAACAAATATACGTAAAATTTAAAGGTATTTTAATTACAGGTTGTGGTCTTACTATTATTCTTCAAGCTATTGCTATGTAATTTTTTTTATTTTTGTATTTATTATATCAATCAAATGTGGAGAGAAAACTACAGAAATTGAAATTATGTGCCCAAAGGATAATGACTGTGTTGCATTCAGCATTGTCTTATTATTATACGATTTTCTTATACCAGCATGGTTAAATACTCCTAACACTATGTTTCTGTTTCCACTTTATGTGTGTTGCTTTATTTCTCATTGTGAACATCAATATTTAAAGTATTTCTTGTTAATAACCCTATGAAAAATAGATAATATAGTTTCATAAATATTAGGTAATCCTTCTACAATTAAAGGAAGGAACGCACATTCCTTTAGTCAATATAGATTATACCTATGAGCCCACATGCATTTTATAAGTTCACATACAAAAGTTCATGTCAATATAAGATGTACCTATATCCAGGAAAGACAATTGATAAAATATCTCATACTTCCTATGTGAATAACTGTTATAAATAAAATAGTATAATATGTGCATTGGCATTGCTTAATTTTATTCAATTATTACATTATGAATGTTTTATATGTTTAAATTTCTGCTATTTCATGGAAATAGCTAGGTTTGCAAAAAGATTAATTATCACTTAGAATGTAATTTTTTCTTTTAGATAATAAAAATTAATTTATACCTAAAAATCTAATTTAAACTAAGCCCATTTGCATTTACTTTATTTTCTCAGTATTGGCAAAACAATATAACCACTAAATAAAAATGTATTGCAGTAAAATGAGATCACTTATAATGGCCTCTTTTTTTTATAAGGTAGTTACAACAGTGATAATGTTAATATACACTGTTAGCATTTCTGTATTATATGAGACACCCTGGAAGTGCAGACTACCTAAACTTTATTATAAAGTGCTACGGCAAGAGTGACATGAAAGAAATTCTTGTGACATTAAAGAAAAACATAAGCTTACAAATAGCATAAGGTTATGACCTGCATATACTTGAACATGCTCAATGGGGTTACCGGCTATATTTTCCCCTAATAGATTGTAAAAGGCTCATTTTAAGAGAAAAAAAAAAGAAAGAAAGAAAGAATGGGGCATTTCAGAGAACATCTATTCACTATGATCTTGTGAATGAAAGTTATGAATGTAAAATTGGAAGACAGTTTCTGGGCTTTGTGCAGATAAGATATCTGCATATGAATGTCTTTATTTCAATGATTTTTGTAAAAGTTTACATTGATGATGTAATGCTACAAAAGAGTCTTTATCCTGGCTTTATATATAGCCATATACAAATATATTCCACAAGATGCTATGTTAATCCAAAATTAAATATATTTGCTTTGTTCTTAGCTCTGAAAAGCTGGTGGCTGATCCTAAATCAAAATCACAACCTTCTATCTGTAGCAGGAACAGTTTATTTATATTAATGTCATGTACTTCAATATGATTTGTTTTCTGAGATGTCCAGGAACACAAAGGACATGTTACTGGTTGATCACCAGATATGAATTTTCTGTTCTTTCTCTTTCTGCAGGACAAATTTTAAAAATAGGATCATTTAAAGAAAGGCAGTGATACAAAAATGCAAAAATTCTTAGAGTTTAGTTACCAGCCATTTATCCCTTACTAAATGACTTTTTCCCAGTAAAATCACTGGCACCATTATTTTGAGCCATATTTCCATATACATTCCACGTATAATTTAATGAAGTTAAGTCTGCATTTAAAAACTAAACATTGAAAACTCTCAATGGAGCAAAAAGTTATAAAGGTTATTTTAATTTATTTTGCTTGGCAGAGTTTGTGTGCACCAACCAAACATGATGCCAAAATTTTAATCCTACGCAATAGTAAGAAACAAGTCATGTAATATCAAATAGGTTAATTGTGCTTTACTAACGAATGATATTTCATATGTAATTTGGCTTACTATTAACTTTCATTAGATAATAATCTGTTTTTATTAACAAAACCACAGCAGAGCATTGACAAAAAACTTTTCTTTATACAGTTTTATGTCAAAATTGAATTAAATATATAATCTCATTTACTTTTATTTCGAGAATGTATTTTAAGCTGTTTAATGTAAAAACATGCAGTTTATAAGAAATTGTTACATCATTTTATATTAGAGACCTAGGGGTGCATTTCAAAAGAAATAAAAACTATTTAATATATACTTATTAAATAAATCAGTGGAGATGTTATAGTTTGGGTTTACAAGAATAGAGTTAGCATCCTAAAATGAATGACCCATGATTTTCAGGGCAACAGTGCACATACAAAATTACAAACACCAAGCAACTTAATATCTCAACATAACAGTTATGGTAGGGCTATATTAAAAAAGAGAGATATCTGGATACAATATTGCTCTGTAAAGGTATTTTATGACAATAAGAAAAAAAATAAAAGCATTGCCTCATAAGTATCACTTATTATTAGAGCCTTAGTCACCCTTTCCAATAAAAAAGTTTCCACTATAATAAAATGTTTTATAATATAGGAACATTGCAAACAAACCTCAACTAGTATTCACTAAACACAGGGCAATATTCTTTAATTACTTTTGGCCTTGACTAGATACAATACATAACTTCCAGGTAAAGAGCACTTTGATCTATTAATAATTCTGAGATGTTCTCTAGCTTCCCTAGACAGAAGCAATATTAAAAGTCTTAGATTTGCTTTCCCAAGTTGTTTTGATTAAGGCGTTCTCAGTCAAACATATACAATGTATTCTAAAATTGCTGGTGAAATTATTATTATTATTGTTATTACTATTTTGAGACGGAGTCTCTCTCTGGTGCCCAGGCTGGAGTGCAGTGGCACAATCTTGTCTCACTGCAACCTCCACCTCCTGGGTTCAAGCGATTCTCCTGCCTCAGCCTCCAGAGTAGTTGGGATTGCAGGTGCCTGCCACCACGCCCTTGTAATTTTTGTATTTTTAGTACAGATGGAGTTTAACCATGTTGGTCAGGCTGGTCTCGAACTCCTGACTTCAGGTGACTCTTACACCTCGACCTCTCAAAGTGCTGGAATTAAAGGTGTGAACCACCATGCCCAGCCGAAAATTATCTTTGGAAGTAGATAATAATTTTATCAACAATATGGCCGGGTGTGGTGGCTCATGCCTGTAATTCCAGCATTTTGGGAGGCCAAAGCAGGCAGATCACCTGAGGTCAGGAGTTCGAGACCAGCCTGGCCAACATGGCAAAACCAGTCTCTACTAAAAATACAAAAATTAGCAGGGTGTGGTGGCACGCACCTGTAATCCCAGCTACTCAGGAGGCTGAGGTAGGAGAATGGCTTCAACTCTGGAGGCGGAGGTTGCCGTGAGCTGATACCATGCCATTGCCCTCACTCCAGCCTGGGTGACAGAGCGAGACTCCATCTCAGAAAAACCATGCACACCACACCACACACACACACACACACACACACACACACACACAATTTCTTTTTTATAGTTTGGTGGTTAGTAGTTCAGTGGCTAGAATCATATTTCTCATGTTAAAATCCTGGCTGCATCACTAACGTGAACAAGTTATTTAACTTGTTAATGCCTTAATTTTCTCTTTAGTTATGCAGGGAGGATAATTATTTAAAGATTAAATGTAAAGATTAAATGAGGTAATGCATGGAGAACATCAAAAAAGTAGTTGGCACATGGTAACTACCTTTTTTTTTTTTTGAAGTTGCAGAATCTGGAACATTTTCTTCTAAAAGATATACAGTTGTTTTTATTTGAACACTAATTGAACAATATGCTTTTCTTTTCCTGGTAAGCATTGTCACTATTATCATGGTAATTAAAGTACATTCCAACATGCCTTTTAATGTAACTACATTTGAAATGACTCAGTGTTGTTATCTAATGGAGTATATGAAAAAGTTATAAACTCTCAAGAATGTAACGAATTTTAATTCAATAGTTGTGTTGCATTTTAGGAGAATTAAAATAGCTCACCATCGCTTATTATGCTCTAATGTGACATTTTGCCCCAGAGAAATAAATATTACTTTTTGTGAGATTCACTTACAACATGGATTTAAATTCCTGATCAGAAATCAGGTCTAGTTTCTGACTCCTAAAATTTTACACATGCTTGTATTTACTACCAAATAAGGGAGATAGTAAAACAACAATAAGAACAAACAAACTGAGAATATTAAGTAAATGTAACCCACAAACAAGTTAAAATAGTTGACGATACCCCTCCAATAGTTTTTCTTTACATTTTCTGGCAAAGAATAATCTTTTCTATCTCTGGAATCCTCTAGACATGTGTACAATTTGTAAAGAAATTTCCACATTCTGCCTTATTTTACCATTTTAAATATTCCCCTCTTAAATGAAGACTTCCTAATTGAAGATAGTCATTTATTTTCACAACTTCCATGTCATACAGACCTCAACTATTTACAGAAGAAAATCTAAATGTTGCAAGTTATATCATTTCCAGGCTTTGCTAAACTTCTATTGGTTCAAATTATGTTTTAGGAGACCTTATGATATTAAAAAAAAAAAACAAAAAAACTGCTTAGGCCTGATCACTAAATTAGGTACATTTTAATGTTTTGAGAGGCACATGTCCTTCAGTAAAGTTCTCACCATCATAAGTTCTGTATTCATTGTCTCAAATATTGGCTATGACAATTTCTTCTCAAGTATTTGTTCTTTTTTCCCCTCCTTTATGGGCTCTGCTTTTACAGTGCTCTTGGAGTGCAAAACCTTGCAAATATGTACAGCATCAGGTTGCTTACTGAGCTATGCTAAATTGCATCTTGCTCCTAGTGGATTGGTTTATTCAAATTTTTCTGGATTTTTTTTTTTTTGAGAGGAATACCTCTGAGTAGGATTTTTAAAAATGGAAGGAAAGTTGATACTTATTCCATTTTTCTCATAATATAGAGAAGAAAAATCTCTATCCCGGAAATGTGAGGTTATTACTGATATACGTGAGAACAAAAATTAGGTTCCCTGACTCCCTCTCCAATGCTGACACTTTTTCTTTTCCCAACAGACATTTAGTGAGGGAGCTGGCTGATTTAAACAGAATTATCATGAAATAATTCCTCTTCTATAAGGCCCATTTTCTGCCCCCCAGGTTGCTACCTCAGGTTGCAAATCCAAACTGTAGGAAGCTATTTAATTATTAATTCAACAGAAACATATTGAACACAAATTATGTGCCAGGAACTATTCTAACTGCTTGGTATATGTCAGTGAAATAAAGTGATAAAAAGTTGTCACAACTTCAAGTTTTTATTCTAATCAAGGAAGAAAATAAACAACATAAGGGAGGGAGAGAGTATCATTTATTATATTGGCAAGACATAAGATTTTCAGGGAGAAAAAGATAAGAACAGGATAAAGGTAGAGGTGAGATGGGAGAGTGATTTTCTCAATAATGAGTCAGGGTAAGCACCACTGAGAAGTTGAGATTTTAGCAAAGATTTGAAGGAGTTGTGGGAGTCAGCAATGCCAAAGTTGGGACGAATAGCATCGTAGGCAAAGGAAATAGTACAAAGGCTCTAAGGCAGGAGAGTATGTGGAGGGTTTAAGGCAGAGTAAGACAGTTAATGTGGCTGGAGAGAAGTGGGAAGGAGTAGCAGAAAATGAGGTGAAAGTGGTAACGGGAGCTCTGGTAAATACAGCTGCACTGTGCAATATGGTAGTCACATGAACTTACAATGCCTTCAAAATGTGGCTAATGCAACCGGGAATTTTTTTTAATTGTACGTTACATTTAATCAATTTAAATATTAAAACTGAACCACTTTTGTCATAATAATAATATGGATACACGTTATTCTTGGTAGTCAATTCAATTACTGAAACATTTTAAAATATATTTGCAAACATCTTGGGTATGTGAATCTTTCTCAACTGTTAACTTTTTGAATATAAATATGAATCAAGTATTCCTACTAAAAATTTTGCGCCCAAATTGAGAGGTGCTGTCAGTGTGAAATACCCACTAGAATTTAGGATAAGTATGAAAAAAATTTCATTTTCAATTATGTATTGAAACGATCATATATTGGATAGATTGGTTTAAATGAAATACATTATTAAGCATAATTTCATCTGTTTCTTTATACCTGTATCAATGTGACTACTAGAAAATATACCACCACAGGTGTCTTTCATTATATTTCTATTAAAGCACTATAGGCCATTGTAAGAAAATTGTCTTTTTCTCTGAATGACATGGGGATTCATTAGAGGGTTTCCAGTGAAAGAACAGTAAGAGTTATGTTTTGGTTTTATCTTTTTA
Organism: Homo sapiens; assembly: GCF_000001405.40. Lineage (NCBI taxonomy): Eukaryota > Metazoa > Chordata > Mammalia > Primates > Hominidae > Homo > Homo sapiens. The sequence continues at coordinate 85,073,474 of NC_000003.12, read as the reverse complement.
ACAAATTATTTTGAATAACCATCATTTGTAGCTTTCAAATAAAGTAATATTTACATAGATGTATACTGTATGTACATTGTAGCATGAATAATGCATGATTTGGTTACTTAGAGAAGTGTACTTTATTGTCTTCCAATTATTATTACTTAGAGTTTTTATGTTCATCTACTGCAAAAGAGACAGATAGATCACGTAAAGTCTGTATATTATCTTACTGTAACTCACCTTAAACTGCACAACACTAATAAGTTGTATGCACTATCTCCAGAAACAAAACTCAACGCACCTTCAGGTCTTTATGCTGATTCCTAAGTATCACATCAAATAAATGTCCATTTTGCCTTTGCAATCCATCTGTCAGAGAAGTTAATTTGGACACATTGCCACTACCATTTTAAATGTTCTCTACACTAGAGCTACATCAGACTTAAGAAGTAAGATAGTCAAAATAGAGTCTTACAATGAAAAACAATTTTTTAAATGTTTAACCTAGGGAAAGAGAGGGTTTTAAGCCTAATGTTATCTATAGCAATAGAATACTTATTAATTTCAAGGGTTAAATGTCCTGCAATGATTCAATAAACAACATGAAAAACTAATCCCAAATAATCACAGGGATAAAAAAAACCTCTGCATTTTTAAGGTAATCATTTTTAGAAGATTTTAAATGATAAAAATATTTCTCTAAGTAAACTGTCAATAATTTAAATGTCCTTATAATAGAATTTAAAATTTTTATCTAAATTCAAATTTTTTCCTTTACAAAGAAAAGACGGTAGATGGTTAATAGACAGGAAAAGAGACTATGTCTTTTAAATGTATTTCTGTTTTATGCACAAAGCCACTATTAGTGTTAATGGGAGTTAAACACATAAATCCATTGTGCATCAACAGAAGAGCAGAAACTATAATCTATGAAATGAATGAATTAAATCATTATGAGTAATTCTTTGGCACATGACCTCCTCTAAGTTCTATCAAGTACATAGTCTGACTTTTTGAAATGGCACTTAAAAAGGTTTTACACCCTAATTGAACAGCCATTCACTGGGCTTATTTTTCACTTAGATCTCTCCTAATACCTGTAAAGTAGGGTTTTTAAAATAGGAGACTGGATGTTAAAAGCAGTAATTTCTCATCAGAGAATATTTAATAAGTGGAAGCTATTAGCAAACCAAAGGACACAAAACAGATTAATCTTTTAAAAATATGTCCTTTTGGGGTTAAAACTTGTTCCACTTTCAGGGGAATTTTTTCTGACCGTTGTAAGTATAGATTTACATTTATCATTTCTTCATAATACATGAGAAAAGAATGTTTAATTTTATTCATAATAATTATTAAATCTTATTATTTGGAAATAATCATTTAATAATTGAAGATTACCCAGTTTGATTAATAATTAACTTCTTATAGATTTTGATATATTTTGGTTTGAAGATGATGCTATGAAAGCTAATTTTATTGCTGTTACAGTTTACCATTTCATATATATATATTTGTATTATATTATTATTATATAGAAGAAAATATAATCCTATGCCCCATGACTGTGGTGATAAAAATAACAACCAGAATGACCTTGTTGGTAGAGTGATAGTTTTGAATTAAACATGTTTTTGCTTCATACAAACAATCATATATCATAACTTTCACAAAAAAATCATGCACAATAGCTAACGAAGGTAGTTGGATTCTGTTGCTTTTATTTTCAGTTAAATCTATGATAATCAAGGCTCAGTTCTTATTTACCTTTACAAATTTGAGCAGTCATTTTGATTTAACTATCCACTCTCCCTTTTAAAAATATATATTGCCATTGTTCAAAGGTCTTAAAATTCAATATTATATTCATCACAATGAAACAAACTCAAGACCACCTATGAGGTAATGTATGCAAAATATTTTAATAAATGAATTCTCAAGGTTGTATTTTTTGAAGAGAATATAGAGTGGAACACAAGGTGTCTGATATTGGCACCTTACAATTTGGTGGCACTACTTGTAAGTTAATACTAAGGTTTTTCCATCCCTTTATCCTGAGCAAAACTGACTGTAAAAGGAATTTAGTTAAACGCACAGGCAAAAAAAAGAAAAAAGAATGCTTCCTAACCACATTTTATAAGCACTTGTCCTGAGTCCTGACAACTATCCCTGAAGCAAATCTCTTTCCTGACATTCTCCCTCTCCCATCTTTCTCTGTCTTCCTTCCTACCTCTCCCTCTCTCATTTATTTTATTTTTCCTTCTGTCTTCCCTTCTTTCCCTCCCATCTTACCTATATACTTTACTTTTAAATAATCATATCAATACATATATTTCCTACTTTATAAGTAAAAGCTTTTACGAAGTATTTTAATATTTGTTAATTATTTAACATTTCTTATGGAGAACGTACCTTATGTTAGTCACTATACAAGACATAATAAGTATTTTATTTATTTATTTATTTGTTTATTTATTTATTTATTTATTTATTTATTTATTGAGACAGAGTTTCGCTCTATTGCCCAGGCTGGAGTGCGGTGGCGCGATCTCGGCTCACTGCAACTTCCGCCTCCTGGGTTCACGCCATTCTCCTGCCTCAGCCTCCCCAGTAGCTGAGACTACAAGTGTGCACCACCCAGCCCAGCTATTTTTTTATATTTTTGGTAGAGACATTTCACCATGTTAGCCAGGATGGTCTTGATCTCTTGACCTCGTGATCTACCTGCCTCGGCCTCCCAAAGTGCTGTAATTACAGGCGTGATCCACTGCCCCTGGCCTGAATTATTCCAAAAATGTTAAACTATGCCATATTTATAGTATTAGTCTTACGAATTTACCATCAGTTACAGGAAGTAGCATAGTTCCTTTTTTTGTTCTATTTAACTTTCTTTCGTTTTATAGCTTAGGATATAGTGACAAAAGACCATTTTCTACACACATAGAAATAAATTTTTTATTTGAAAACTGAAACTCTTAAAAAGGTAATCTAGAATTTGTTTATCCTTAGGTTTAAGTGTTTAACAGATAACAAATGAACATTTAATGGTCTAAACAAATAATCCCAGGCAATCTAGAGGAGAGGAATCTAGTCTTTCTATAAGAATAATTTGATATGAAGTATAGCTATGCTTCACATTTTGGAATTTGTGCTAAATAAATAAAAAGATAATTTCACACTGATTTTCTCTAGTTTGTTCACATTTCACATTAAACTATATAGGCATATGTTTAAAAATTAATAATTTTAGCCCACATAATCGCCACATTTTGAGATAAAGGGCATCTCTTAACTGGGAAAAGAAAAAAGTGCCAGTAGATAAAATCAGATAGGATGTATAATGAAAAAATGTAGTAAAATGTCACTATGGAACATGTTATGAATATTTATGTAACTAAAATACTTTCAGAAAAAAAATTTTGCTTATTGAAAATAAAAATACAAAAAATTCGAAGAAGTTGAACAGAAAACAGAATGTGATTGCATTAGAATACTGTTATCAGGGATGTATGAAATTATTAAACTTGGCCAAAAAGTGCCCCAAAAACATAATGATAAAAACCAAAGTTCTGCTAAGGAATAGCAACACATATCTCAGGTTATAGCAGGCATCTTCTAATTTAAGATAATCACATCAGCTTCTTCAGAAACACTTATAGTCAAAGAAATAAGACAGTGGTAATATTTGTATGACGTCTAGACATTAAGAAAAATGGTACGTAGGTCACACATTCATGTTATTTTTTACTCCCAGTCTTTACAGAGCATTTTTTATCAAAGATAATACTGATATTTACTTATTTGATGTAGCTGCTGTTTATTGATAGTTAATGCATGGCAAATTACAAATATTGATGACAACTAAAAGTAAATATTCTAATTCAGATATGATTTTCCCACTCTTTCCTCAAAATTATTATAAAAGGGAAATTTTGGTACTACTAGAAAACTTAAAACACCTAATAGGGAAAATATTTCATGTTTAACTTATGCTTAAAGGATGTCTTGACTCCTGTACCAAAAAACATTTGAATTGGTTATTAATACTTAAGGTATTATTTTTTGATTACACATGCATAATATGCAAAAGTACTTTTTGACAAAAAATATTAATCTTCTGTGGTTTTTGGCAAAAATATTATTTTTGACAAATGATTTTTTAAATGGACAAATAAAACAAATACAATGTCTCAAAATTGTAGCCAAGTCACAAATTAAAATTATAATTCTATAATTATAATTAAGGGAATAACAAAGCTAAAATACTGAACTTTAAATTTACAGTATCAAATCTTTTTTTTTTCTCTCTTCCATTATTCTTCCCCATGGGAAACATCCTAGTTTTGCCCACAGTAATTTAGAAGCACTGGTCCTGAAATAGAGGGGAAAGGCATCAACGGCCATAATTGAGCCATTCACTCAGCTTTCCTTTGAGAGCATATTTGATTGGCACAACATAAAAATAGAATACACATTTAGAAATAGACTTAAAATTGTTCTTGAAATGGGGACTAAATGGTTCATGAGATTGATGAGACAAAGTTTCTATTACTCCAAATCACTGGCTTCAGTCCAGCTTACATGAAAATGACTAATTCATTACCATAGAACAATCTTCAGAAAATGATGTGGTATACTAAGTTAGTATCTCCATATGAAAAGTTATTTGAACAAATGCTAGGTACAAAAACCAAAAGCAAAAAAAAAATTAAATAAATAAAAATGTAAAAATAAAATAAAACAAAAAAGCTTACTTTAAATATGTATTCTGTATCTTACAGATGTTCTCAAAGCATTTTATATATTCGTGATTAGAAAGTCATTTTACCCTGACCACTTATACAAATGGTTCCTGAGGCTCCATTACATCAGGAGTTGTGTGGAAGATTATAGATCTTAACGTGCTGGAGAACTTATTGGTGAGCATTTTTCTCAATGTACTGTCTGACTAAATAGGCCATTGGGATAATTTCCTATTTCCTCAATGTTCTAAGTCCCAACTTTGTTTTTTCCAGTTTAAACTTCAACCTCAGAATTCAACTTAACATATGGAGCTCTCCCAACCATGTAGACTGAGCCTATACTTTACAGAGTTCCAGATTGTGTGTCTAGAGAACAGGCTTGCTGCTGTTGTCCTCTCCCAGTTCCTTCAGTTTCATCAGTGTGCATTTCCTGACACTTGGTTGAGGAAATGATGGATAAATAGATGTTGAGATAAATCAACTAACAGATAGATTGATGAATGTTACCATACTTTTGTTTAGAGAGGAGATCAATGGGAAAATAGATATTCCTGCCCCAAGTTTTCCATTGTTAAACTGCCAGAGAAATGTTATAATTGAAGGCTTGCTCAACATCAGGACATGGAAATGATTCTCTAAAGTCTGCGTTAAAAATAGTGTCTAGAGAAACAGAAAATATTTTATTTTTTGAGCTTCCATATGTTTTTCCCTTTGGGAGTTTGCTGACTGGCATAAGCTGTCTCTATCCCTGTCCATACTTCCCCAAAAACAAAGAAAGGAAAAGGAAACCCACACAATTCTCAAGAGGACATTTGGTGGTATAAATGGTTAAATAGTCCCCAACTGTGTCAGATTGCCTTGTATACAAAGGTGACCCAAATATATTTTATTCACTTCTCCCTTTGTTGAAAATTACATTGACTAAATGATTTTTTAATAAAGAAACAATGTAAATAAGTATTTCAAAAATAAAGGCAGCTTAGATTAATTCTATCCACAGTGCAGAAACAGGTTTCCCTAGATGAGAATTAATTAATTGGTACAAACAGCCAAAGAAGATAGTAAATAAAAATGGAAATCCATCGACATGCTTCAGGAAGAAAAACAAAGAAAGAAGACTCATTCGTAATTGAGCATTAGTGATAGTTCGCAGAGGTAACAATAGTTACCTAAAATAAAATAAAGTGTCCTACTGTGTTCCCAGATACCATACTGTTCCCACTTCTACGGGTAAAACTGTTAAAGGACTCCCTTTCTTAACATGTTGTTCATAAAAGCAGAGAATTATGAATGTATTTCATAACCTTCCAAGCAAAAATAAAATAAATGTTCCCATTAAAACTCTTACTATAACAAATTTCACATTATAATAAAAAGCCAACATGTTTTTTTGTTTCTCCTTTGAAAAGTACAGCTTTAGAATGCCTTATAACAAAACCACACACACACACAAACACACACACACACAGTTTAATTAGATGTGCATTACTTCCAAAAATCATAAGCAGCACCAATAATATTAGTTGTACTTTCCTAAAATAAGTGATACTTTTATAAAATATTTAATATTATGAACATTCAGAGATAAATTGCTGTTGGGAAAATTCAAGCAAATAAATCCAATCAATAAGCCAGTAGAGTACAACATTTTTTAAAAATAGAGTGTTTTTAACAAAAATTTTTAAAGCCTACTTAAACTTACTAACCTAGATCAAATGATTAATATATTATCCTAAATCTCAAAATGATACAAATATAGCCCTGTGGAAACGAAAACCAAATATCCTGCCCCAGCACTGCAAGATCTCAAGGAAATGAGAGGGATAAGAGATAATAAACAAGAAAGGAGAAGTGTGGAATGTCGTAAGAATGAATGGCTTCGTCTGGAAAATATACCTTAAGGTAAAACTAGGTTAAGGAAGTTTACAGAGTATTTACAAACAGGACTTACCTTGAAAGCAGGAAATAATATCAATAGTTTAAAAACGAATAAACAAATGTATCCAATTTGGCTTAACTAGTCTTTGAAGAACTAATGAGATTTGACCAAGGCAGCAGTGTGGTAGTGTGAGGTGAAAGAGTAGACAGCAGGGGAGGAGAGGGATGTTTTTGATGGGATGACAGCCCAGTCAGACGAGCATTCAGCAGCCTGGTGATGATACATACTTATCCATGTACATGCCTCACACGTTTGTGTGTGTGTGTGCGTGCAGGTGCATGTTGGGTGGTTATAGTGCAAAGGAGGTGAAACTGAAAAGATTTGTGGTGCCATGTCATAAAGTCAAAACATCATTCAACAGTTTGAACCCCCAATAGTTCCCGAATATGACTGAATATCATAGCACTTTGGGGATTTTTTTTTTTTTAAATGCTGATTCCAGCATTTTACCCCTAGTTGGGGAATCAGTATTGGTCCACCCACCATGTCTCATGGTGGGCCAGATTTGGGAACAACTGCTACAACCCATCAGCAATAGAAAACCAAGAAAATTTTGACATACCCTTTCCTGATAACTCTACTTCTCCACCTGTGCCTCAGGAACAACCTCCTTTGTCTCCCAGCATTCAAAATTATGATGAAGGCACCCTCTTCTGAATTTACTTTCCAGACTACTCTACCTGAAGTAGGTTGCTCTGTGTCTCTTACGTTTTTTCTTTTAGTTTGTTGTAGCATTTTACTCTGTTCAATTACTTGTTTACTGTCTAGCACCATCCCCACTCTCATCCACATATCCACGCTCCAGTGAAACCTCCAAGACAGCAAAACATGGCTGTTGTTTTTAATTGCATATTTACCAACTCCCTAGATTCACCATTGCACTGAAATGAGTGCTAATGAATTGTTACAGCTTAAAGTAAAGAAAGTTATTGTTGAAGGTTAATCATTATATTTTTTTCATATATACTCCAAATCTGGACCAAAGTACAGTTCTATGTCTGAGTCTGTGGTATACACACTTGACATTGATTGCTAAGCAAATAATTGTTTTATGAAGATGCCCAGAATGAATTTTATAAACATTATATGGCCCAGGTTACCTGCTGATGAATAGAAGGATGAGTAATAAAAGAACTTTAAGATCAGTCTTTATTCATCAAAATTCAGCAAATATGGATTTTAAAGGGACTGGAAAAATCTTATTTAGATCTTCTAATGCTTTGAAAGCATTCTGTGTGTGAGCAAATGTTAATTATGAACTTGTTACAGTTTATAAGCACAGTTATAAATCAAGGAAGTTTAGAGCATGAAGGTGTATTGAGATTTTCCACTCAATCTATTTATTTCAAAAATGAGAAATCTGGGAACCAGAAAGAAAAATGATTAAAAAAGAGACAACACATTAATTAATAGTAGTTAAACCTAAATTATCAAGTGGTAATTAAAGCAATTTTAAATTGAAAATGGAATAGCAACCCAATATATTTTAAAATTAAAGTCTGATTCATAATAGAAAATAATTGTTTTTTAAGAAAATATAGAGTCAAATTGATTCTATTTAGTAGATTATATGAAATAAATTTAAAATAGCTAAACTAAATGCAAAATATTCAAACAGAAATATCAGATGAAGTTATTTCAGATTACAACCAAGATTGTCCTATTTATTTTCATGATAAGTAAGTTTACTAATTCACAAGTGGGAAAAAAATTAGTATTATCTATTAAAAAGAAATTTTACAATCCCTGTTGTGTGATATTATTTTATTTTAAAACTCCATCTATATGGTAATAAAGATAACTTTCCAAATCTCTCTGCTGTTATATTCAACAGATATTGTGATAAGATATTTTGAAAAGATAAGTACTCTTAAAAACACAACCAGTTAGTGACATGCAACTCATGAGGCACACTGGTGAAGAGAAAATGTGCACAGTGCCTGTTAGATTTTTAAAAGACAGTCTTATTAAACCAGTAGAACTTGTCGTCCCCCTTGCTAGGAAAGCAATCATCATCTATTATTCAATCAGCCAGCAGAGAAGAGAGAAATATAAAACTACTTCAATATGATCTAGCCTGAGCAATGAACTAACAAATATTGCCAGTATGTCTAAATATTTACTAAAAATTATTGCTTCTCTAATGTTCCTGAAGTAGAAAAGCTGTTCTTTAAGAATAGCCCTTCTTCTCTATGAACAAAATAAGAACCAAAGGAGGCAAGATTTCAAAAAAATAGTGACTATGATCACAAACCCATGAAAATATGTAGGTCTATTTACCAACTACTAGTTCAGGGTAAAACATCCGAAAGTTTCTTTGGTTATTTTATGTACACAAGATTCCACTTATCCTCACTAAAACAAGTCAAATAATTCTATCAAGAAAAATAATAGAAGATCACAAAAAGGGAAAAGTAGATTATTTAATCATTTTGGGGCAAAATCAAACAAGAAGAGAAGAAACCCTTATGGGAGAATCATGTAAATGGTCCAGTTTTAGAATATGTGTTCCAATATTCCTCTTTAAAGGGTATCTCAAAACCTTAGTTCTCATTGGTAGGAAACAAAGTACTCTTTGGAGAATGAGTGACAGCAGCAATATTAGTCCTCTCCATCTCACACTGGAAACAATGTATAACAATTGATACAAATTTGCTTCCTAGAGCAAGGTTAGCAAAGGCGGGAAACTCTGAGAATTCCTTGGGGAAAAGAAGCAGCCATACCAAAACAATTGAACAGATTATGTCTACTATCCAAAGGAATCGGTTTTCCTTCAATGTCTTGTCATTTCTCTACACAGCATGAGATGTAGAAAAGCAGCAATATCTTGATGACTGAAGTGTGGAAACCTACTGGGGAGGGGACCTGAAATTACTAAATATATTTGTGGCAGAATTAATTCTAACACCCAGGAGGAAGCTGCTAATGCGTTAGAGTGAGCTGTCAGGTGAAACAGGAAATTTTTTCCATGCATTTTCTAATGAGTTTTAATATACCCCCAGTATTTATTTTAAGACATTCTGCTTGTCAAGGTGGAACTCATGTTCTCATTTACAGATAATTGACTAGTTCAAAAAATTTTTACTCCATTTCAAAATATTAATAAAACAGTCCACTTCAAGCACAATTCCCATTATCTGGAGGGCAGCTCATTAATTTCTTTTTTAAGGAAACTAAAATAAGAGAGCCCACTGAAATTTTGTACCTTCTATTAGTTGTCTTTTCTTTCATTCTCACTCACAATTCAAATTTTATAAGTTTATCCTGTTTAAGATCAAAATACTTGGATGTTTCAAAATATACAAGTTTGATAGTAAGATTTATGCTATCTTGTGTCTGTGTCTATGACATTTAGTACATGGCATTAGCTCTATTTCTAAAATCTGCTCTTTTTTGCTGATTATAACACTAAAGGCTTTTCTTTAGTTTTCTTGCCGTGGATCATCGGAGATTAAATTCAGGAAACATATATCCCAATTTAGAATGAAATTGATTTAAATCAAGGCATCTAAAATAATTTAAATTATTAGTTAAAAAGATTCCATTTAATTACATTTCCATCAAAAGCAGATTGAAGTTTGATAGAAATATAATATGTATTCTCCATGACACAGAGATTAAATTAGTTTTATTTTAGAAGGTATAAAATAAATATTTTAAAGTTTATTTTTGATTAACACTGCAATTACATAAAAAACCTAAAAATTATTATTTAATAGTACAATATTAAAGTCATTTTTAGTTTATATTGTGAATCCATTTGAAGTGTAAATCAGGTCAACAAGAGATTCCTGAAAACTGTGTTACTGATTCAACTTCCACTTTTTTAAGATTTAGACTGTTCAATTCCTAAGTGATGCCTCAATTCAAATCAAATAGTCTAAAATTCATAATTGATTCACAGCAAATGAAAAATAAAGACGGTAATTAAATAATATTTGTGTATTTCTGATATGATTCATAAGGCTGAGATGTAATTTTAAAACAATTCCATAATGAACACTAGTATAATCATCATTAGGGTTGAGAATTTTCTGAATTTTCATGTCATAGCAACATTCGTCAGTTCTTACATTTAAAGTTCTGAATATTCAAATCTTGAAAATAAAATTGTCATATTTATACTTTTTTAAAATTTAAAATATTACATTAATGTATTCCACCCCTTATATTGATAAGTCATTTATAGAATTATATTACTTGTTATGAGCTTTTTAAATAATTAAGTGCCTTTAAATAAAAATTTTAAAAATTATTTTTAGTACCAAAAAATTGGAAATTATTATTTGGTTTTTATTAGCTCTGTCCTTTAAGTCTTTCCAGGTTCTCTTAAATGGAATATTTCCGATTTATTTAGAATGAAAATATATGCAAAAATAATTTTAAAGATCATATATACTTAATTAATGTTGCTATTAATAAAAGCATAAAAGGGTGATCATAATGTTGGTTAGGTTGTTTTTCATTTATCTGTTTTTGTTTGTTGGTTTTGATTTGTTTAGGACTACCATGAGTATTTATGAGTGAGTTGTTTATTCCCCAAAACTTTTACAGGTAGAATAGTAAAGCACAGTGTTGATTGCCCAAGATTTATTTTACTTTGAAAAAATTAGAAATTTATTACTATAGCAAATGTCTAGAACTTTGGAAACAAGTTGTGTACCGGAAGCAAGAGTTTGGATATAGAGTTTCCGTGTGTGTGTTTGTGTGTGTGTGTGTGCGTGTGTGTGTATGAGTGAGAGAGAGACAGAGAGAGAGACAGAGAGAGAGACAGAGAGACAGAGACAGAGAGACAGAATGTGTGTATGTAAGCTCTTACTTATGAACTCTCCACTGATACTGATATTTCTTGAAATATTTTTTTTCTTTCTGATAGTATGTTTTTAAGAAAAAGTTCTAACAGAAGACCTAATCCTATTGCTACTATTTTGCAGATTCAGAAGGGAAGAAAGTATGAACTATGCAAATCAACTATTAAGTAATAAAAAGTATATGTGTATATATGTATATATCGACTACATTGCAATACCGAACACAAATAGACTGTATTTTACTCACATTATATGTATCTATGTTTTTCACAGCTTCATCAATGTGTCTAAGATGTACTAGGAAGTAGAACTTACACTTAGATTGCATGAAAAAAGGAGTAAATAAAGCCCTCTTTGGTGACATTCAACTAGACTTTCCATGACTGTCAACTGTAATTGGTTCACAGGCTGTCAGTTACTACTACCTGGATGCATTATTTAATAGACTTTAAGGAAATAGGATAGTTAGGAATACTCCCGATGTTGAAATGTCTGTCCTATTTTGACTTAATGAAAAATGTAACTGTTTTTCCCCAAATGTTACGTAAAACTATATCCTTTCTTATTCAAATAAGCAAACATTGAAAGGATATCTAGTACTGCCAGTTAGTATCATTAATATGAAGCTCTGGTGTAATTTATATATAATTCACACCATTTGCATGCATCCTTGCCATGGACTGCACTGTTGCATATAACTTTTAATAAATGGTCTCTCTTGAATGGTGAATGACTGGCAATGAACATTCTATGTTTTTATTGACAAGGGTATATTTTCATCACGAGAAACATTTTAATAATAAATACTATGCTGGAGATACATAGTTTTCAATAGAAACTACCTCTTTTAGATGGCTATGAAAGTCACAAGGAAAGTATGACTTAATTTAGATATATTTATTTTTTAAGCAACATTTTATTAACAATTGTCTTTTATTTCTGATAGGGAGTCTTTGTTATCATTATTAAAGATTAACAGTTCTTCAGCATCTGTTTCTGGTTCAGTAAGAATTTTTGTGCATTCTGGTTAGAAGTATACTCATGTATTACTATTTTTTGGATGGGATTATTTATATTATATTTTAACTGGTTATTGTTAATATAAGTAATAGTACTGATTTGAATATGTTGATCTCGTGTCTATTCACTTTATAAATATTCTTGTTAATTCTAAGTTTGATCATTGATTTTCTTGAAATTTTGAGGCTAACATATCATTTCATAAACACTTTTATTATAAGCGTGAGCCACCACACCAGACCCATAAAATATCCTTACATCATAAAATGAGAATTCCAATATAAAATGAACATTTTTAGCTATCATGTAATATTCAAAGACTGGTGTCTGTATCCTTGGCTTGAAATATCAGCAAAATAGGAATTATGGGAATAATAAACATTTTCAATTAATGATTTGTATAAAAATACTTAAAGCTTAAAATAAATATTTTTAAAGAAAACATTTTCATTTACCATAACTCCAAGGAAGTGTGTCCTGAATTCTTACAGATAGGACATATTTCGGGATATTTTAAGCAGGAATGCAAAACCAGTATTTGTTTTAAGAAGAGCTGAGAGTGATGGCTCACACCTGTAATCCCAGCAATTTGGGAGATTGAGGCGGGTGGATCACCTGAGGTCAGGAGTTCGAGACCAGCATGGCCAACCTGGTGAAACCCGTCTCTACTAAAAATACAAAAAATTAGCCAGGCGTGGTGGTGGGCGCCTGTAATCCCACTTAGGAGGCTTAGGCAGGAGAATCACTTGAACCTGGCAGGCAGAGGTTGCAGTGAGCCAAAATCGCGCCATTGCACTCCAGCCTGGGCGACAGAGAGGGACGCTAATAAAATAAAATAAATAAAATAAAAGAAGCAATAAAATCCTGGAGAGTACAAAAAGGTATGCATATTTAAGTGGGATCTTTGGGAATGTGACACAGGAAATCAGATCAGAAAGACTGAAATCGAGAATTACTGAAATTAAAGTAGGGTGAGATATGAAGGCAAAGAACTGACTTTTATCCTTGGCTCTCCTTTTAACTATATACTTAACAGGTTCATAATTTTTTCTTCTGGACTAGATTTACCCTGTTTATAGAATAATAGCTGAAATACATGTGTATTAGCCCATGTTCACGCTGCTTATAAAGACACACCTGAGACTGGGCAATTTACAAAAGAAAGGTTTATAGGACTTACAGTTCCACATGGCTGGGGAGACCTCACAATTGTGGCAGAAGATGAAAAACATGTCTCACATGGTGGCAGATGAGAGAAGAGACCTTGTGCAGGGAAACTCACATTTTTAAAACCATCAGATCTTGTGCGACTCACTCACTATCATGAGAGCAGTACAGGAAAGACTCACCCTCATAGTTCAATCACCTCCCACCGGGTTCCTCCCACAACATATGGGAATTGTGGGAGTTAAAATTCAAGATTAGATTTGGGTGGAGACACAGCCAAACCATATCAACATGACTGTATTTGTCACCAGGAATAAATATTTTCTTTGATTTACTTGTCTACTCTTAGTGTCAGTTATCATTATTTAAACAATAAAATATCCACAGAGAAAGGAAATCACACAAAAATTAATCATTCTCTGATATCTTTCACTTCCTTTACTTAGATGAATTCGTAAGACTTTAGAGAAATGCATAGTTGTTTTTTTTTTTATTTTTTTATTTGCTAGATCTTTAACAGGCTACCACTATGCAGATGCATTCTTATTTTTACTTTTATTTATTTATTTTTTGAGACATAGTCTCTCTCTGTCACTCAGGCTGGAGTGCAGTGGCGCGATCTCGGCTCACTGCAAGCTCCACCTCCCGGGTTCACGCCATTCTCCTGTCTCAGCCTCCCGAGTAGCTGGGACTACAGGCACCTGCCACCACTCCCAGCTAATTCTTTGTATTTTTAGTGGAGACAGGGTTTCACTGGGTTAGGCAGGATGGTGTCAATCTCCTGACCTCATGATCCGCCCACCTCGGCAGATGCATTCTTGAATAGACCTTAAGGAAATTTGATAATTAAGAATACTATATATTTTTAGTATATATAATGTATAGTATAGAATACTATATAATTCTATATTGTTTTGCATAATATTTTTCTGTGTTATATATAAATGCTATATATTTCTATAAAATATCACTTCACAAAGTTTAAACAAGTATAATAGAAGACAATTATAATCTAAATCTATAAACAATCAGTTATAAGCACCAATACTACATTTAAAATCATTTTAGCTGGGCGCGGTGGCTCATGCCTGTAATCCCAGCACTTTGGGAGGCTGAGGTGGGCAGATCACCTGAGGTCAGGAGTTAGAGACCAACCTGACCAACATGGAGAAACCCCATCTCTACAAAAACATACAAAATTAGCCAGGTGTGGTGGCTCATGCCTGCAATCCCAGCTACTTGGTAGGCTGAGGCAGGAGAATCGCTTCAACCCAGGAGACAGAGGGTGTGGTGAGCCAAGATAGTGCCACTGCACTCTAGCCTGGGCGACAAGAGCAAAATTCTGTCTCAAAAAAATAAAAAAAGAAAAAAAAGAAAGTCATTTTAACAACAACAACAACAAAAATTCACATATCAAAGAGATCTCAAAATTTGTTGCCTATGTGCACTCAAAAGTAGATATATATATACACATACTTCTACATATGCATATATGTATACATAACCTCCCAGATTTCTTTTTACATTTTCTTGAACTAGGAAGATCCTTTTTTAAATGTAACTAGCTTAGAATTTTTATGTCTGCTAAATTTATAATAAATTTTAGTTTCATTACCTGAACAAACTAGTTTTACACCTCATAAAATTTACAGATTTATAGTAAAATAACTTTTCCCATAGTTTACATACATGTGCATTAGTGCACACATACATAGCAGAGAAAAAGACAGAATATAATAATTCCATTCAAAGAATCTGTGAGAAATGTTTGCTACACCAATTTAAGACTAATCAATTCAACTGTATTTTAAGAGTGACAAGGCTTTTGAAAAATGTCTAATACCTACCATCGGGAAAATTCTACAGTAAAATATTTTATGAAAAAGCAAAAGTTTCTGGGGAAAATGCAAGTGTACTGAAAAACAACCCCACATGTTAAGGCTTCTGCAAAAATGCTCCATCTTTAGGATGCCTGTTAATCATCACATTTCTAGAAACAAGATGTGAACTATTCAATAAAGGAGGGCTTCAGTTATTGTGTAATAGAAAGCATCAGTGGCAGCAATTTACTGTATCAAAACTGCTTTATTCTAGTTTGTTTTTGATTAGATTGTGCTACATTTTCTGCTACTGTTTATCTGTAAACAAACAACTCTGTCTTGTCCAACTTTGAACATTTAAGTATGGACATTATGATTATTGTAAAACATGTTAATGACAAAGAAAAAAATCTCAAGAAACAAACGGTATCACATCTTGAAAAACAGATTCTATATTTAAATAGTAACTAACATCAAAGTTAGTAACTAACATCAAAGTTAGTATATGATGTTAGTATACTCACATCACTGTTAGTATATTCTAATATAATCATTTAATTAATAATTTTTATGACTGTCCTGATGTGTATCCTGAATTTGTGTAAAATTGAAGATTTCATAAAATATTTGTTTAAAAATGAAAGTTCTGTAACACTACAGGAAGATCCCATAACAAAAAAAAAATTCTGAAAATGGTAAGTTTCAAATTAATGATTATCCTTAGATGACATTTTCTGCTGATGTTTATGTATTTTTTCACGGCAAATATGCTGTTTGGATTTTACCAAGTATTTCTTAGATTTGATGGGTGAGCATGTTTGTGCATAATAAGTGTACTCACATATAAGTTGTTGACAGGGTTTGAATTTCATCTGTTTAAGAAATCTGTCAATATATTCTGTTCATTTATAACATTTGCCAACAATGAATTCGAGAGATTATCTGCACCAGAGATTCTCAACCTGACTTGCACATTAGAATTACATGGAAACTTTCAAAAACTTGATGGCTGAGGATTACCCTCACACCGATTCATTCTGTAACTCTGCAAGTAGGGCCTGAGCATGAGTATTTTTAAACCTTCAGAGATGATTATACTGAGCACTGCTTAAAACCAGAGATCTATACACTATATTTACTTCCTTTTTTCAGCGTCTATATGAAGTCTATCCTGTCTAAGTATAATGTCCTCCAAAGCATTTATGACTATTGTGTTATTTTCATTACAGAAGATGAGAAGTAATTAAAATAGCCAATTATTAATGACTTCTTAGTGTAAGGCATTTCACTAGGGGATATATTGCATATATCATTTCACTTAATTTTCACAACAGTCCTGTGGAGATATTAAATGCAAAAGTAAAGTAAGTTGCTCAGGGCCAAACAATGCTTTGCAAATTGCAGGGATTGAAATTCTGACTAGGTGTGCCTGAATTCAAAAGTCTTATCTTTAAGGCCCCTATCTTTTATATCTGTGAAACCCTGTTAACATCACTATTTCAATATGTACTTATAATTAAACCTGAATAAAAATTTTCATTGTGACTATTACCCTTAAAATGTTATAATTGAAAACATTAGATACAAGCAAATTCAACCCATTCCCTTGTTAAATGAAAAGAGCCTAAGACTCTGAAATTCTAAAAGCACACTTAAAATGCAAAATAGAGATAAAACCATAAAGCACTTCTTCTCACCATCCATCCTGTGTTCTTTCTACTGCCCCACACTGTCCACTCTCATTTGTGATGAATTAGTACTGCATTTCTTTAACAGATGACACTGTTTAAAAAATTACCTTGCAAAGGTGAAGTCATCAGTGGATACTAAGAAGAGAAAGTGCTAGATATACACCAAAGAACTATCACTTAAGGAATAATTAATGTGTATAATAACTTTCACCTGAGCAGTCCAGTGATCTCATGAATAAAAATGCTACTGTTCACATTTATATGGATTTGGTTTATATTCACAGAGACATGAAGAGCCCTTAACTGACCTTTTGTTACAATACTGGGCTATTATAATTTGATTTCAAACTAGTGTACATTTAAAAGTAAATAGAGTGGTGCTTCTCAAATCTTACAGAGTATGTCAATAACATAGATCCAGGTACCATGCAGCTTCCAATTCAGTAGCTCTGGGATAGGGCCTGAGATACTACATTTTTAACAAGTTTCCAGGTAATGCCAGAGCTACTCAAAGTGTGCTCCATGAGTCTCACTCCAGCTAGCAAGTAATAGAAATGTATCAGTCTATTCCCTAATATCATTAACCGTAACTCTTATTAAAATTATTTCAAAAATCTACAAAAGTTAATAGGGTGCAAGCAGGTATCTGCAATGGAAAATGTACCCTGCTGCAGAGGACAACCAGTGATAAGAAGCAAATAAACCTATCATAAAAGCTCAATAATGGACATACTACCAAAATATGCATATAAAATGTGTAAGAGAATTGCCACTTGAATTGAAAAGGAAAGCACTTAGTGCATGCAAGTTTTTAATAAATCCTACCTGATGATGACACCAACTTTCTAATAATGTGGATGATGATGGAGGGAAAGTAAGGCATGCATGCAATTTCATTTTATTAACTTGATGATATGTCTGAAAACAGATTTTTCATGGCTTGGAAAAGAAAGTTTCCACGGACTACACTGGAATAAGAAGCATGCCACATGAATAGTTTCATGTCCTTGATCTATGTGATTAAGCCCTAACATGTGGTTTTAAAGTTCTATGAACAGTCCATTGAACTCTCAGTTTTAAGACTACATAGTTCTTTCTCATTTATCCAAACCTTGCATAGCTAGCTCTGCTTGCCTTTTAGTTCATTATTACGAGTAAGAATGCATTGAATGAAAATGAATAGAATGATGGCCCTGTGGGGTCATGGCAGAAGTACAGTGACAGGACCCATCAAATTCAATAGTTTAAAACACTTTCAGTGCATTAGGGACAAAATGAAAACACTTTCAGCACTGGATATTAAGTATATTAAACTTCTATTTATAAGGCCACAACTACTGCATGCTGTGGTAGTCATAATCATTTTTCACAGCAGCAAAGCCTCTCAAATATTTAATAAATATTTCTCAAGATCCATATAGACTTGAGGCTATTTACTCAAGTACTTCAAGCATCAAAAAGAGAAGCAATTGTTTCATGTTTTTAAGTAGTGTTTCCTAGCAAGTCTCATTTATCATCCAGAGTACTTGCACGTCCTTCACCAAGTTAAAGTCTATGTCTGTACATTTGCTGGCCAAAAATGGTTACAAGAGCTCTTCTAGCTGGATTCTAACCAAAAGCATTCAAGGATTTCCAAACATGACATAGGAACAAAGATCGCATTTCTCCTTTTCGACTAGTACCAACTTTGTTTCAAACAATTTTAATAACCTCATAACTGCTCTACTGAAGCCATGCTTTCCCTCTTTAATCCATGCCATATAATTCATAAGACTAGCCTTCCTAATAGGTAATTCCATGGCTCACCTACTCAAAGCCCTTAATTATCCCTTGTCACCTATGGAATTAAATACAAAATGTCTAAGCCTTAACAAAGCCATGTCATAGATCCCCCAATCATATTTCCAGAATTATTTCTCAGTTCATTGAAGTCTTCATTTACTATAAGCCTTATATTTTTCCTCCTTTCCATTTTCTCCAGCTGCTCCCTGTACTCAGAGAAAGTCTTCTGTCTCTGCCAATTCAAATAATTCCCATCGCTCACACCTATTTTAAATACCATCTCCTCTCATCCCCCATGAAACTTTTTCTGATCCTCCAATTAGATAAGCTTTAAAATTTCTCTTCCTTTCTTCTTGTTTTAAGTCCTTGCACTCTTATGACACTGTTTTTAATTCAAAGAACCTTTATTATATCTGCCTTACATATAATAGGCTCTCGGTAAATACTGATGACAACAAATTTTAAGGATACACTTCTTAAGGTAGATGATTAGTGTGATAATTAAATAAAGCATTTTGAAATTACTTTGCTCTTTTAACAGAAGAAATATCACAGAAGGTTCTTTGCAATCATGAGGACTACAGGAATCTGTTCTGTTAAAATAAGAAATTCAATTAACTAAAAACATTTCCATCTGAAAAGAGACCTCAGATTTTGATTGGTTGTACTAATTAAACATGAGGGTGGCAGCCATTCCAGATGGTAAAGACATATTTATACAAAGTTTTACATAGTCAGAGAACTTCAGTGTAAGGAGGGACATTTAAGTTCATCTAGTTTAAGCCAGCATCTGAATCATTTTTTCTAAAAACAATTCTCCGATTCCAAACTCTACTTAATCCCCTCCAAGAACTGGGTATTCACTATTTGTAGAATGGGCCTTTTTGCTTGAGGAACAAGTTTAATTTCTAGAACATTCTTCTTTATACAATATCTCTATGGCTCATTTGCCAAAAATTATTCTCTTTTATGGGAGTCACTCATCCATTTTTCACCACAGAGCCTTAAGTGTTCAAAAACTATGGTTGTGGTCATCATAAATGTTGTCTTCTAACTTAACACTCCCAGTTCTTTCAATTAATTTGTCATGTTTTATTTCCTTCAAATTCTTGGTCACTTGTCCTGTATGTGCTCTCCAGTTTATCAATATAATTTTAAAATACAGTCCCCAACTGCAGGGATAGGACAAGGAGAACAAAGTAGAGATAGCATGATCACCTCTTGGTGACAGTGTATTATATTCTTATTCATCCAAAGTTCCCATTACTATTTTTGACAGTTTTATGACATAGCTAACTACTTTTGATCTTATAGTAACTTCAAACTTTTGCTTTAGCTCTGAACATTTTAGCCTTCATTATATAAGTTAAATAATTTTTTACTAGTTTGGCAAATACTTTGCCTATCATTAGCAATTTTGAATCATATTTGATATTCCACTGGAAAATCTTTGATACTGGTATTTGTCTTCTAGAATCTTAAAAATGTGATTTGTTTCTTTAGTACAGTACTGGTCTCTTCATATTAACCAAAGTTTTGCATTGAGAGCCAAATGAGCTATTCTAAACTGTGCCAAAGAAGCTTACTGTAGCTATTCAGTGAAATTAGAACAAACAAGAAAATTTGTCACCACATATAATGCAGCACTAATTCATTTTTCATGTCTGAAAAATGTAATTATATGGTTTTTGTAATATAAAAGACATTGCTGTATATACTTAACATAAACATTTTGCAAATCTAAACTAATTGAAATACATGTTTTAAAAGTAGAATGGTTTTAAAATTACAAGTTATATAAATTAGGAATTCAAGGGAACGATTGAAAAACACATTTTTGTTTACTCCAAGGGCAAACTGCCTTATAAAAATGACTTCTCTGTTCCTTAGAATTTAGAGTTGATTTTTTATTGAAGAAAATGGCATTGGATTAGACCAATATACTGTAAAATTAGTACTTCTGTTAGGTGAGGCAATTGGTTACCTGAGAGTGTGGCATATTTTGCAAAAGAAAATGAACCCGTGTGGCCAGAATCAAAAGACCCCAGATAGAGTTTGAGAATCACTCAATTTAATTTTGTCAAGCAAACAGTTATCAAACTCCTGTATAAAACCCTATTGTACAGGGTTTGTGGAGTAGGGTAACAATATAAGTCAATGGTAATACTTGATTTATGTCAGTTGTTATTGGAAAGAGAGAGAGGGTTGGACATGTTGCTGTAGCCTAATCCATGTTACCAGAGATTTTTCTCGATTCATCTATAACCTTAGCTTCACTGACATATTTAATTGCATTATTATCCAATCGGGGAAATAGCTTCAATCACAGTTGAATCATAAATACATTTCAGTAATTGCATCTAGCTATAAAAGACTATTTTAAGAGACATATGATTTGGAATGAGGGAAAGTATTGTCATATCATGGGTTTTCTCCTCTAGATTTTATATTCAGATGCCATATCCTGGGCATGGAATATGCTAGGCAGTTATTGTGAAATTCCAGATTTGGTTTAGCTATTCCAATTACATTGCAACTTCCAGAACTCTTGGCTCCTCAACCCCCATTTCTAGGCTCTGGAATGCAAATAGTGTAATTTAAAAAATCCCTTCATTTGCAATATCTCAGTGGGGAGTTTGCATCCTAGCAATCCCACAGAAATAATTTCTTAGCTTTACTTCCCCCCAGGCCCAATGCCCCGTTTTCTTTTCTTTTAAATAATGATATCAAATTAAAACAAAAATTTAATGCATTCTGGAAAAGAAATGATTTGACAAAATAATTGAAATTTGCCTCATGGAGAGATAGATGGAAATTTGTGGAAAGGTATGGAGGGCGTGTCTACCCCTTTTGCTTTCAGAGGAGGCTAGGAGTTATTTCTGGGTAATTTAGATACATACTGGCACTTAAATAAATTCATTGGTAGTGATGCCACCATTAGTAGTCTTCTTAAGATGCTGCCAAATCATCAGTAACACAGCTCCCCCCGTCCCTACAATGGGATCTTGGATATTCATTTCAGTTAGCTATACTTTGGGAGTAGCTTTGACCTTGATAAAAATATTTTTAAATATCTCCAGTGATCGTTTCAACCTAAAGTACCTATATGTATATATCCTAAGATTCATGCATTTAATATGATTGCAAGGTATTCATGGCTGCTGGTGAAGAAGCAATCTACAGTTAGTCATATGGTGAAGATCTCTGTTCTAATAGATACAGTTGAATAGCCTTCATAAACTTATTTTAAAAATGGCCCCAGCCATGATAAAATCTTTTGGGGCTGATAATATGAGGTAGGACTTAATTTTTTCAAACTATATTTAGAGTCACTTAATGACGTTAACTTTATACCTAGAAGGACTTCTACAAAGTTTTTGAATGTCAGGGCAGCTCAAGTGACAGATGAGGAAGTCATCAAGCCATTCTGAATCCCAGAAGTCTGGCTAGTCTCCACATAAGCTTTGGAAAGGCCTCGAGCCTTTTTTGCTCTTCCTTTTAAGAATAGCATGAAGCAGGCTGGCAGGCTTTTCAGCGGCAGTCCTTGTATGCTCCTTCATGCCAAGTCTAAACTGACACAAGAAAGGAGTACATCCCTGCAACCTTGGTCATCAGTACCTAGAATATGTAACTTGAAGAATTCAATACTTCTTGTCCTGTGTTTTCAGACAGCGATTATGTATCACAGTCATAATTTTTAAAGGATTGGAGGGAAGACTGTGGAAAAAGAATTAAATGTAGTTTCCACAATTTGAATACCTCTTATTAAATGTTAAGAATATAGAATTAGGTGCAGATATCGCTTGTGGCAAATTTTTCTATAGTTATCTTAAATAACTGAGGTTAATTCCATTCTAGAAATGCATCTGCTACCTACAGACCATATTTTAACATTTGTGCAAGCCATTTTATTTCTAGATCTCTCACTTCTCTACTTCCTCAATTTTAAAATGCATATACTATCTCCTTTCCTACTTAATGTTTTTAATATCAAATGAGATAAAATATATTTAGAAAATTGTAGAGCTCTCTGCAAATGATTGCTGATTCATTATAATAAGTCATGGAAAAATCTTTAGCTGCATTTTGTTCTGGTCCATAGCAAACTTTGAAGTTTTTGACATATTTCCGGAGTTTTCATTGATATACTTTGATTATTTTATGGTATTTTCTATTTATTTTAGGTCAGAGCTGTGCAACAAGTGTTCTGCATGTGGGGTACAGGTGTACTTCAGTATATTGACCCTTTTACTCCTGGGTTCTAAGGCAGTTAGAGCCTCCTACCTGGTCATCTTTAGCCTTAAGCAGCCTCTGAATTCCTACAGGAGTTATTGGAGACCAGTGGCTTCCTGGTCAGTGAGCAAGATGAGCAATGTTCACTAATACATAGCCCCCAACAGAACACCGAGAGCAATCTTGGATACACTCTGTTTCCACAACATCTGCCTCAGGGTCCCCATAAAGATTATATTGATTCCCAAGAAGGCCGATGAAATGACTGAATAATTTTATTTTCCTCGTGGTCAAGAAGGTGGAGTCAAGAAGGAGTCCAGCCCAAGATATGGCCAGTGGGGAGATGGTGAGGTAAGTGGGGAACTTCTATTAAATGTAGCAGCCTGAGTATAAGGGAAAAAAATGTGATATTAAATTACTGAAAGTTATGCTACTGAAAAAGTTGGATGAGAATTTAATTATCTATCTAACTTTCATCATATTATTAGTTTTCAGGAACAACTGAACACCACATCACCTAGGTGTTAATATTTATTTTTTAAAGCTGTTTTCTGCAATCTAAATATAGATTCTATGCAGAATTTTAAAGAATTCTCTCAGATCACAAGGAAACAAATAAATTAAAGAAAAATATTTGCCAGGCACAGTAGCTCATACTTGTAATTCCAGCACTTAGGGAGGCTGAGGCGGGCAGATCACGAGGTCAGGAGTTTGAGACCAGTCTGGCCAACATAGTGAAAGCCCGTCTCTACTAAAAGTACAAAGAAATAGCCGGGTGTGGTGGTGTGAGCCTGTAATCCCAGTTACTCGGGAGGCTGAGGCAGGAGAATGGCGTGAACCCGGGAGGCGGAGCTTGCAGTGAGCTGAGATCGCATCATTGCACTCCAGCCTGGATGACTGTGTGAGACTCCATCTCAAAAATAAATAAATAAATAAATAAATAAATAAATAAATAAACTAAACCTGCAACAAATGTAGGTTTAATTATCTCCATCACTTCTCACACTTAAGTTCTTGAAAAACTAGTTTATATTTTTGTATTACTACTTCACTTTCAATTCATGAGACCCAGGGAATTTGACTTCATTTTTACTACTTCACTGCAATTGTTCCCACTAAGATCGCTAATGATCTAAATGCTGAACCACCAGGCCAATTAGCCATTATCCTCATCGGAATGAATCACTCTACCACATGATACAATTAACCACTGCCTTTTTCCTGAAACTTTTTTAATCCCCTACTTCATTCTCACTAAGACTGTGTTTTTCCCTTCCTACCATCCATTATTTTTCCCCTAATAAACTTTAAATGCTATGTTTCCATATATCCAATTCTTGGCCATCTTTTCTTTCCATTTTCCCTCTGAATACTACTTCTTGCTGATTTATTTTATGCCCAAGATTCAGCTATCATTGTGCATTCTGTATTTTCTGTTTCCAGTCTATACCAAACTTTGGACCCATTTGTGGCTGGTTACTTGGTATATCTTTTTATGTTTCATGGAATAGCAAATCACCTACCTCAAATGGAACTCATCATCCTGTCTTCTATATTACCTGCAATCTTGGGAGTTCCCACAACAACCACCTCTTTCTCATGCCACATGTAAATGATCGCCACGTTCTCTCAATTACACATCCTAAGTATATCTTGATAATTTTTGAGTTTTGTTTCTCACTCCTCGTTGAAATTGTCCTAATTTAAGTCCTAAGGGTACCTAGGCTTGATTATTGCAACAATCAAACTGACTTCTCCTGAAGTTTAATTCTCCTTATGATATTTTATCTCTGCTGCCTCAACAGTCTTTCTTGGTTACAGCTGTAATCATTTTATCTCTTCTCCTAGCATCCAAACTCCTCACCATGGGATATGAGCTCTGGGAAATGTTTCCTTGTCCATTTTTATACTTATCTTCCATACACAGATAAGAATAGTTTTAGTCACTTTATGCTGTCTCTCAAATTTGAACACATCTGTCTGTAATACCTTCCTCTATCCCTTTTGTCCAGTAACTCTTATTGATTCTTTAAGACAATGTCAAAATGTGCCTATTACATAAAACAAAACAAATCACTCTCCTACTATCTATAACATAATGTACTACTTTATTTGTGAACCAATCATCTTTTTTTCCATACATCGTCTTGGCACTTAACATGCTGAATCTGAACTATTAGTGCAATAAATTGGGAGTTCCTTGAAAAAAAAGTATTTGGAGCTTTATTTTTCTTTTCCCGAAAATATAGAACATGGTGCTGAGCATATTATGGATCCAATAGGTTTCTGTATAGTAGATATACATTAATTAAAAGTTGGGGCTTTAATTTCAGACTTGTGTTATTACTGTCACTCTGCAGAAAACTTGCACATCACAAAAACAATATATTAGCAGCAAAGGCAGAAAGTCTTCTGCTTTGTTTGATGAGAAGAAGTGTAAATTCTTACATTTCTCAAAATTCAATTTGTATGTCATATTCTTCTTGATTATTCAAAAGTGGTCACGGCTGAGATATGAGTGACTTTATGTAAGCTAGTTTATAAGAATTGGATATAGGAGTTCAAGTAGACCATTGGATAAAGTATCTCCTAATTTTTACCAAGCTACTTATCCTCATTTTCTTATGCATAAAATAAATGTTAGTTATAAAACCATTTGTGAAAGTTAAAGATATACTGTATGTAATGATGTTAGCCTTGTTTCTAGCATACAGTATGTATTCAATAAATTTACTCCCTTTTGTGATCTTCTCTCCCATCACACATTGCAGGGTCTTGCTCCTTAATTTTGTTTCTATTTTTTAATAAACAATATGTAAATTTATATGAGAAGTTCCCATTATTGGAGAGATAATTGACAAATTAAAATAGCCTTGGGGACCTCCTTATTGTAATTTCCATTGTTGCAAATCCTTTATAATCTATTAGCATAATTGTAGAACCTACCGTCAGGATTTGCACTATACCGTGTTCTCTGAGTATAAAGAACTGGTAGGTCACGAAGGACAAAAATGTGGTGTGAGAGTGACCAGCAAGGGTGTTCTTGCTCTACAACAGAAGCAAATGCAGTGTCTCTGGTGACAGATCTAAAGGAAAAGGGCTGGAGCCAAGGAATATGATGACAGAAATTTGGATGGGGTTTACTGCACAAGGGAATGTGATATAAAAAGAAAAGTTAACTTATGGAATATCTTGCAAAATCTTTTTCAAAGTCACTTATCATATTGCTTATTACATACCTTGATTTAATGGGTTCCATCTTATAAAAATACATCTGCAGAACCTTTTATGTCTTATTTTTTAGGACATGATAAGCTATTGTTTATTATTTTAGAAATTTGGTAAGATATTTCTGGAGTCATAAAAAATTCTCACCTATATGTATGACGTGTATTGATCACTGAAAGAGAATATATATTCTAATCACTATTTATGCTAATGTAACAACAGTCTTTACATGTAATGAATAGTATTTAAAAATATATATTTTCATGATTTAATGCTTTGTGAGGTAATCCTTGGAAAGCATTTTAAAAACATTAGTCTATCCATGAGAATTACTCTAGGTAAATGTAATTGCAAAAGAGTTTTATATTAATTTCATAATTTTTCTAAATTATATTTAGTCATTTTTAATTGTCACATAACATGAGAATTTTAAGATGTTATCCTAAAATTATAGTTCTTAGTAAAATCATCCTTTGATTTATTCTTTAGAGATAAGGCAAATTTGCATTTTTCTACTAATTAGTAGATGCTTACATGCTGAAAAATATCATTATAACTTAGTATTGGCAACTGATATACTGTGTTTTACACTTTATAAGATACAATCACCAAAACAAACCAAAAACTATAATTGACCCCGTGGGATTTTGCTGTTGGTTGTGGAAATGGTAGTTTAATTCCATGCCTGGGGTCACAATGAATTCATGGATCTGACTCCAAAAAAAAAAAAAAAAAAGAAAATTGTAAAGGATTTGGGAATATGGCAGCTGAAGGAGAAGTAAAGATTTGGTTTACTGAACCTTTGTATGCATTTTGGAATAACGCAACATGATAAGGTCCTTTGGTTATTTTAAACAAATCATCACCAGAGGCCGATTGAATGAGTATGACTTATGACTGGCAGTGTAGTCAGAATTATTAAACTTCCTTAAAAATAATTAGACCTCTCAGGAATGGGATTTGTACACATTGTTTGCAAGTTTCTCAGTGCATAAACCGCTACATACAATCAAAATGCAGATAATACAGTTTTAATTAACATAACCACCTGTTCTGGATTCTATTCACCCACTTTTCAATCTTTTGGGATGTTCTTTCAACTAGAAAAGACACTATCCAATGTTCCTAAGATGTCTACTTAGGGAAGCTGCTGAATAGACCAATATGAAAAATATAAAAGAGAATATGGAATGTGTTTTTTAGTTAAATTATATGAACCTTTTTCCAATGTATAGTTATTAAGAGGAAATATTCAAGTCATGTTCCAGGAAACTGATATCACATATCTGCTTACATCAGGGGAGTGTTGAATATTTGTCAACATATTCTTGTGTGAAAGAGCTCTAAAAGATGTCATCAGTTTTGTTTCCCACCTTTATTTGATTGCACATTCATAGCAAAAAAAAAGGCTACACATTCTCCTCACGCATGCATAGTTTTATCTGTGAAATATACACATATACTGCCTTATTCACTGATTTGGAACATTATAAAGTATACACAAAATCTATCCAACCCTGAGATAGTAGTATTAAAATAAATAGAAATACCATTTCTAATAATTTTTCCTACACTAGAAGAGATTGTCTTATACATAGCCCACATTGTAAAATAAAACATACCTATATCAAAATGCATGAGCACAAAGAAGAAAATGTGTAAATGAGCTAGACCAAAAACTGGACACATTTTAAAGAGTTATCTGATTAGAACACTCTGTTTTCTACTGTTAAATTTGTATTTTATGTAACTCATACATAACACAGAATTGCCAGGTTAGGTCTATCACAATTTTCTAGAAAGAAACAAGAATTCCAAAACTGAAATAAATCTTGCGCCACATTAATAGCATATTCAGCTTCAGGATTTCCTCCAGTGTCCAACGAGTTAAGGTAAGATAATTAAAGCAAACCTAGGTATCAGAATAAATGTTTGAAAGATACACAGAATGACAACATCACATGTGTGATAAAGAAATGGGCTTCTGGAAACCAACAATAAACAATCGAGGCTAACGGTCAAAGATGAAGTGGCTTTTTAAAGCAATGTCTTATGCACACCTGGTCATATAGAAGTAGAGTGTGCCAGGCTCTGTATCCAGTGACAGCTATCATGAACCAAAGGACATTCTTTGTATGGGCCCAATTTTGAAGAATGTTGGAAACATATCAGTTTGAGGGATTATTTTTTCTAATCCATATCCATTCACTAGCTGGCTCTCTATCAGTTGAGAGTCTTCCAAAAAAAAAAAAGAAAAGAAAAAAGAAAGAAAGAAAGAAAAAGACACTAAAACTTTTTTATAAATGGGATATTCTTAGCTTGGATGCCAAATATCCACCCAAGAATTTCACTGGTTTTTTCTTGGCAACTGACTTTCCTGGAACCATCTCTGTCTGGTTGGTAATTCATTCCTAAAAGGTAAAAACATTGTACAATATCTTAGCCCAGAAAAGACTTGGCAGAAAGTATAAGAAGGAAATGTAATCTATATCAAAGGATATCCTCATTGCTGAGAGGAAGCAATTTTACAAAGTTGGTACACCAACCCCAGCTAATTTCTTCTGGAATGTATCCCTTCATAATGCAGAGAGAACAGATCCTTCCAACTGACCTAAAATTCTCTGTGAAAAGCAAGTTTCATCATTCAGTGCTATAACAAATCATCACCTGGCAGAAAAGCCAAACTGCTTTGAGGATTGCATTTTAAATCTCACATTACCCAGGTCTTTTTTTATGGTGGGGGGTAGGGGGATTAATTTCTTTTACTACTGAATAGATATGACCTTGTATTCAGTACAGTTTTGGCCAACTGCTCCTAATAGGAAACATGCTTCTTCTCACCCATATGGAATGCACAAATTTTAGAATCTATTCATCTTAAGTCATAGGCACAGGATCATTTGTAGTATTAGGTGGAAGGACAGATGTTTTGGTTGGCAATAAGCTAAGGTGAAGCAAGGTGGTTGGATGATCTAGTTCCTTTCCCTACTTAGGTCACAAGGATTCTGAAGGATATTCATTAACCCTGCTGAACCACTGTGTGTTCACATTGTGAGTGAACACAAGGAGATTTAGAGGCCCAGGTACATAGTATGACATAATGTTGGGGAGAAAGCATGCTGCCTATTTATGATAGGAGCTTTTTTTCTGGTACTCAAAAAATTAGAAGTTTGGTAGCATTCATATATACTTCTATTGCATGGATATTGAATTTTATATGATAGATAATAGCAAAAGTATGGTTTCTTCTAAGTGGCTTTGTGTACCCCAGACAAGGATAATTGTAAATTTGACCAGAAAAGGAAGACAGTATTGGGGACTTAAGGAGAAACATATGGTGCCTGAAGTTGTCAGACCTTTTATTTATTTATTTATTTTGAGACAAGCTCTCACTCTGTCACCCAGACTTGAGTGTAGTAGGGCAATCACAGTTCACTGCACTCTCAAATTCCAGAACTCAAGAGATCCTCTGAACTCAGCCTCCTGAGTAGCTAGGAGTATACCATCCCTAGTTTTCTATTTTATTTTATTTTACTTTTTTGAGAGATGGGGCCTTACGAAGTTGCCCATGTTGGTCTCAAACTCCTGGCCTTAAGCGATCCTCATGCCTCAGCCTCTTAAAGAGCTTAGATTACAGGCATGAGCCCCTGCACCCGGCCTAACAGACATGTTCATGGTCATATACGGGCCCATACATCTGAAGGAGTTAGGGACATGGCACCCTATAACATACCCATATTTGGCATATTGATTATTTCAAGCTGAAGAAAATGAGAAATAGTTGCAGAAAGGAGTATCTGACTGGCCCCTTCCTACCTGTAGCAAGCCATAAAATTGCTTTTAAGTGCACCTTCCCTGCATGAGACGAGAAAATAATTCTTATCACTAAAGACTTGGAATTGATGTTGCAATGGATCTGTACAAATAAAGTTACTAAAATAACCCTTATCTTCCACTAGCTTCACCCCCCACCCAATATCTCCCAGGGGCTTCTCCATGATTTACTACCCCTAGCTCAAATGCCTTTGTGTTGTCATTTCTTCATGGAAGTACCATTTCTTTGTCTAAAAAGTATAATACGTTTCTGCTTTGTCTATTTCTTCAGGTCTTCACTCTCTGTGGTGGATCCCTATGTGCATGTACAAATGAATAACATTTGTATGTTTACCGCCTATTAATCTGTCTGTGACAATTTGGTTCTTAGACTCAACCAAAGATCCCAACTAAGAACTAAAAAGATGGTAGAGGTGATCTTGAGCCTCCTCCCTACACCATTTTATAATACCTTTCTTACATCACCAGGAAAGTTGTTTGGAAGAGACCTGAGACTGCTAATATCCATATGCAGCTATTCAACTAGTTGGCATTTAAGCTATTCAAAACTGTTCTGCTGTAATGCATATAGAGACACTTTCAATGCTATTTATTTTAAAAACAACGGATAATAAATTGTTCCTTTGAAATTTTGCAAATGATAGACATGGAAAAGAAATGAAACCCGGTCAAAAAAGTCTTAGTCATTTATTGCAGAGCATCTAAAAAGAAATGAAAACACACACACAATAAAAGAAAAAAGCAGAGTGGAAAAAAAATATAAGGATGTCAAAAACCCCTCAAACTTCCATAAAAGGAAACTATAATTAATTTAGCATTCACTAAACAAGCATTGAAATAGCCTTATTTAAATGTGAGCCCCCGTCTAAAACATAAAACATAAAAATAAAAACATAACGTTGAAACCAACAATTCTGTTTCAAGTTTGAAGACTGCTTTCATGCTCAAGACGACTAATAGCTGGGTTGAAGCTGTTGTTCTCAAAAAGAAAGCACAAAATTAATGGGCGCTCACTCTCCTTGTTGCCATTTGTTTTCCTGATTTGTAAGCAACACACCCCTGAGTATGCATTGATGAGAGTGGGTACGCAAGAATGGAGAGACGCTGGAGAAATTATTTTTGGCCCCTGATGAAGAAGAGTGACTGATAGGGTAATGTAGGGTAATTACATTCTGAAGGAATGTACACCAATATTTAAAGCTCATTTCTGTTCAATATTATGCATGTGTGAAACAAGCCTTTTTTCTCCTTCAAATGTTCCTTTATAGTTTGGTGCCTATTACAGCAAATAGCAGAAAATAAGCAAAGTGACAACTGTCACTTACTGTAAGACTTTTTTTTCTTTACATTCTGACACTTTCCATCATTTCTACAATTAGCTTATGGACCTGGCTGAAAAGCCACTGCCTGTCTGCCACGGCACAATGAAAGTACGAAACAGTAACACCATTTTCTTCCTGACAAAGATGACAAACCTCCCAAAAGGATAATTTCTCTCTGGGGATAAAACCACACAAGGCTCTGAATTGGATCTGGTTTAAGAGTCTTCTGAGCCTGAATGCCAATTATGCAGGAAATTGTGCAGGAACTAGTATAGATGACTAAATCCTCACTCCTTGAAGTTAGAAAGAAGAGCCTTGGTACCTGGAAGACAAAACAGAACATATGCACTACATATAAAGGTGGAAAAGTCATACGATTTAAGAGCATGAAAGATACAAGAATAGGATATTATAAATGCATTCTCTCATTCACTTCCGTTTCCTCTTCGGACTCCCACTTCCGTCTTTCTCCTATTCTTACTCCGTCTCTCTGTCCTTTGCCCCCCTCTCCACGCAAACACACAACTACAAATTCAATGGAGAACAAACTGTTCACTGTGCGAATTTTTTAAAAATCTGTGTAAATATAGATATATGCCTAAAATTACACCCTGATAAAAATTTAGAGATTAAAGAGGAAGCAAAAAGATGAAATATAAGGCAGATTTAAGTTGCTAAGCAACTTGGCGTTCACATGAAATCAGATATAGCAATTTGCTTTGGCAAGACTACACAATAAGTTTAAAGAAACAAAACCAGTTATTAGTTTTAGAGACTAAGTAATTAAAGGAAGAAGAATTAAAAGATTGAACTGAATTAAGTCGGTGTTTAACATATAAGAATACAACCAATTTGTCTCAGAGGCCTGAGGGTCCAAACTGATATTTAATTACAAGAAAAAGATGACTGTCAATTTGACAAAGGCAAAAATAGATTAAAATATGATACTGTATTTAAATCTGATATTGTGCGATGAGTTTGACTTCATGCCAAACTCCTGTAATATTATTTCTTACATCATGTAATAAAATGCTCATGTAATAAAGACCACCTTGACATAGATTCTGATTTATATATTCTTTCTTCTGGGTCTAAAGTATACCATCTCAGCAGATATTAAAGTGCTGAATGTAGTGAAAATTTATCACTTTGTTTCTGAAAGAATTAAAATATGCATTATTATGAAATTTCAGGACTGTGCTTGTGTTTTTGCCATTAGCTACCATAATCAGAATGCAAAGTAGCAGAACATCTATTCCAACCATGGGTAATCTGCTGTTTTATAAACACCAGAGTAAAACAGGATTAAACCTATTGTTTGTTTGTTTGAGATGGCTTAATTCTCCTCTAGCGACTAGCCCCTTGGCTTTTTTTTTTTCACCCAAGAGAATATTTGGAAAATGAAAACAAGAATTGCAATCTGTAAGTGTTGCTCAGTTTCAGACGCTAATCTGCATTAATGAGTTTCTATCACTTCAGTTGCAGGTAACAGCAGCAGTGGAACAAAGATAGACTTGTTGATTAAAACAAACAAATAAACAAACATGCTAACAAAGGCAAGGAACAAATAAATTATTTAGAGGATCTTCCAAGTACGGCATATTTAATTCTCTGATCAGCTTATGAGCCTGAAATCTGCATTGACCCAAGGTCTTTATAGGTTTAGTGATTTCAGTTTCTCAAATCTAGAGTCAATGTTTGGAAAGAATGGAAACCTAAAACGTTCTTTTAACTACACAGAGGCCATCTATCCTTCATATTTTTCAAAATCTTTGCACAGAGTGTTCTCTTCCTTTTAGGTTTATTAGTAGGCTCAGAATACTCAATATTTGTGTGCTTATATTTCTCATTCTGTGAAAACTCATGGAATTTTACCTTCAATGAACTGAGAATGTTAGAACTACAGTCATACTGCCTGAAGGTTTGGTCTTATGGAAATCAGCCTAAGGTTTGAAGCCTTTGCTTTTTATTAAGTATAAAGGAAGTATTAACTTTTGGCTGCTGAAACTATTGCTGGGTGAAGCCGTTTTTTCTTTTTCTCCCTCACTGTTATTGCTACGCAGTTAAGAGGAGTAGTAGCAAGTAATAGGAGCTCACTGCGCTTCTTGATGTTGAGTGTGGAGGACAAGGTGCATGATTTATCTTTCAGTATTTAAATTAACTAGATGCTGGCAACATTACAGATGGAACACACTTTCCTACTGGTCTCATTATTTGCTACTTGCCTTTGTAATTTTCTTTCAAGATAGATAGTATACATGGGACTAAAAAGAAAATATAGATAGATTAAGAGGAAGGCAGGGGACAGTAAAAATTAATGTTTGTATGTTGTATGTCCTAAAATACTGGTAAAATACATTTGTCTTTATCAGTATACCATAGCTTTAAGAAAATGTATGCAATACTTGAATTATTTGGAAAAGCTAAAACTGTATTACTAGAACTATAAGGTGGAGGGTGAATTGTAAGAAGGAACTAAGGTACTTAGACTCTTCTCACTAATAATCAGCTTAAGCCAAAAAAAAAAAAAAATACATTATCTTAGAAATCACAGAAAAAGATTCTCTGACTGGACATGATCTGTTTTCTCCTGTGTTAAGAATCTTATTACAGCCAGGTATGGTTGGGGCTCAGCACTTTGGGAGGCCGAGGTGGGTGGATCACCTGAGGTGAGGAGTCCGATACCAGCCTGACCAACATGGAGAAGCCCCATCTCTGCTAAAAACACAAAATAAGCTGGGTGTGGTTGCGGGTACCTCTAATCCCAGCTACTCGGGAGGCTGAGGCAGGAGAATCGCTTGAACCGAGGAGGCAGAGATTGCACCATTTATTGGCCTTCCTCTTCCTCTCTTTTCTCTCTCTCTCTCTCTGTGTTTATAAGAAAATAATGAAAACAACATAAGTATATAAAATTATGAAGGAGTTTAAAAAATAATTTTAGAAGCACATTTTTGATACAAACTCCTCCATTCAGTATGGATTTATAATGACAAGGGGATGAAAAAGTTGTTACATTTGCATTTATTTATAATGTAGATAATTGCAAGTTGGAAGATTATTTTTTCTTTTATCTTGGCATTATAGTCAACTCTGGGGAGGTCATCACATAATTGTTTATGTGAAAATATTCCCACTAGATTATAATTGAGTGATTTGCTGATTATTTACTATATGCTAAGTAGATCTTTCATTTATCCCCACTAAAATCAGCTTAAAATGTTTAAATAACTAAATCTAGGCAACATGCTAGTAAATGTCAAAGACTAGATTGAGTTCAGGAATGTATAAATCTCAAGTCTCTGCTCCTAATCATGGTCCTTTCATTAGCATCAAAGCCACCTATTGGGCTTGATATAAAAAATGTAGATGCCTAGGTCACACATCAGATCTAAGGAGTTTACAGCCTGAAACAGGCACATTTGATAATTCTTAAACACAGTGCTATCCACTTATCCCTTGAGACCCATAGCATAAAGCAGTTATAAAACACAATGAAGTAAGCCAAACTACCTATGTATTAAGTGCTTGTTATATTCTGGGATGTGAACTAAGCTAACTTTACACATATCATATATTTTCTTATTTAATTTTCACTAAACAGTCTGTAGTATGCATAAGTGTCCTTTACTTTATGTGTGAAGAAACCACTGTGAAGAAATTTGCCTCAGGTCTCACAAAATGATGATCATACGCTGCTCTTTTTGCTGCTTGGCACTCATGCTTAAAATTTGTGAAACTGAAATTGAACTGAATTTTCAAAAATTTAGAGGAGGTTAAGGAAATTATGGAATCATCACTTAACTAAGTACTAAGAAAAGACCACAAACTATACCAGGCATTGGTATTTTTACTTTGCTTATTTTAAAAAACTTTTTCTGTTCCTCACTGTAACGTCCAACTAAGAACTCATAACTATTTTTTTTTTTTAGTTTTCCGGCCACCAGTGAGGCTAATATTAGCCTGGTAAATACATTTGTAATTAAAAAATGGGATGAAATGGAGAAAGAAAAAGTTAAAGCAAGAAAGTATATTGAAAAGAAATAATCAAGAAAGGCACAGAAATTAAAAAGAAAGAGGATATAATATTCACCTCTAGCTTGAAGGATGACATTCTTATATGCAGAGACTGCATGTAGATTTGTGTTTTAAATTGTTAAGTAGCCAAGTTTTTAGGAAAGACTCTGTCCCAAGGCATATATAATGCAATAAGATAAAGGGGACAAACATAAAGAAAAGCCCTTCTTAGTAGGAGAGAAAAGTCTACCACACAGTGAGGCCAGATGATATTCTTTTAAAGAAACAGAATGGAGACTCCCACCCTCCATGCTGCTGTAAAGATAGAAGGCATTGCAGAGATCATTTGAAAATGGTAACAAAAGATCATTGCATCTCCTGCAAAAGCAACTAAGAACAGAAATAGAAAAGGCAAGAGTAACATATGGTTAGTGATCTCTAATCTAGGCCTAGAGCTTGTACGTTCAAGAGTGAACTTTGGGCAACCACACATATAAATAGTGAGTGTCCTTGCAGATGTAACACATTGGCTTTGATCTGGCAAATCTACATGTCCACTGCATAAAGGAGAAAATATGAGAAGCACTAGCAGGGAAATACGAGAAAGATGGCTAACAGACACCATTCATATGTACCACTATAACTACTCTTGGCTACAGCCAACACTACAATGACAGTAAAGCAGAATCATATCTTTTTGTTTGTTTGTTTTTTTTAGAGATGGAGTTTCACTCTTGTTGCCCAGGCTGGAGTGCATGGCGCAATCTTAGCTCACTGCAACCTCTGCCTCCCAGGTTCAAGCGATTCTCCTGCCTTAGCCTCCCAAGTAGCTGGGATTACAGGCGCCTGCCACCACAACCAGCTAAGTTTTTTTTTTTTTTTTTTTTTTCTATTTTTAGTAGAGACGGGGTTTCACCATGTTGGTCAGGCTGGTCTAGAGCTCCTGACCTCAGGCGATCCACCTGCCTCAGCCTCCCAAAATGCTGGTATAACAGGCATGAGCCACAGCGTCTGGCCAGAATCATATCTTAATAGCAATCCCATAATGTAGTTTTACCAGAAATACCATAGTCAATTTTACAGGGTGGGTTCAGTTTTTCTTAAATTACTTACCCCTAAGATTAAAGAATATTTTAAAATATTGTTATAAGAGACATAACTAAACTATTAGGTTTGTGCAAAAGTAATTGTAGTTTTTGCCATTAAAAGCAATTATAAAGAAAACGGGATATAATAGAGTTACTTCTAGCTTGAAGGATAACATTCTTTTTTGCTACTAAAAGTAATGGCAAAAACTGCAATTATTTTTGCACCAACCTAATAGGCAAGAGAACCCAAATGGCTTTTAGAAACTATCCTAGTCTCCTGAGTGGGTAGAAAAGTTCATTACAAATTCATAGTTGTCAATAGCTCCAAGAGTTATTGGAGCTTAAGTTTAAGTTATTTTTAAGTCTTTAAGTTATTTTTTAAAGGCTTATTTTAAGTCGTTAAGTTATTTTTTTCCTCTTTACTCCTGAATCAACTGCTTATAATTATTTAAAATTTATCTAGTTTATTTTAAAACATTCTTTCTAATAATGATTTTTTTTTACATGTATGTCTAGTTTAAATTCCAGTGCTACTCTCTAGATTGTTTGAAGAAATGCTGCACATTATGTTGGAGATGTGAACAGTGCTTCAGAACCACAGAAGGAAATACTCAGAATCAAACAGAATGATAAACAACAGACAAGCAAACAAAAACCAAGCATAGGTAAGAAATAATGTATGACAACCAAAACCTAACATTCTTATATGTCCTTTACTTAAAGGTGTATTTCTCTTTTTACATAATTTTTAAATGAGGGATAGTGATACATAGTCATTAATGCTAATGTAATGGATAATAACTATGAAGGAGAATGCTTAGCACTGTGCTCTCTATGTTACAGGCAGATAAAACAGCAGTTACGATTATTTATTCTATAACTTTAGATTGCTTAAAGCAATGAATAGATATTTTCCTGAAAAACATTTTTAGAGGAAAAGCATAAAGAATAGTAATTACTACTCAAAAAGTAGATTTCATAAAAGTAATGATCAAATACTGGCATAAAAACAGACACATAGACCAATGGAACAGAACAGAGAAACCCAGAAGCAAATCCATACATCTACAGAGAACTCATTTTTGACAAAAGTGCAAAAAACATACCTTAGGGAAAGAACAGTCTCTTCAATAAATTGTGCTGGGAAAAAAGGATACCCACATGTAGAAGAATGAAACTAGAGTCCTATCTCCCCCCATATACAA
Organism: Homo sapiens; assembly: GCF_000001405.40. Taxonomy (NCBI): domain Eukaryota; kingdom Metazoa; phylum Chordata; class Mammalia; order Primates; family Hominidae; genus Homo; species Homo sapiens. The sequence goes on along the minus strand of NC_000003.12, from coordinate 85,035,593 downwards.
AAATCAAACGAAAATGGATTAAACACTTAAATCTAAGACCTAAAGCTATGAAACTACTACAAGAAAACTTTGGGGAAAACTCTCTTGGACAGTGGACTAAGCAAACATTTCTTGAGGAAGAATCCACAACACAGGAAACCAAAGCAAAAATGGACATATGGGTAAATATCAAGTCAAAAAATTTCTGCATAGCAAAGGAAACAGTCAACAAACTGAAAAGACAGCCAGCGGAATGGGAGAAAATAATTGCAATCTAGCCATCAGACAATGAATTAATAACCAGAATATATAAAGAGCTCAAACAACGCTGTAGGAAACAAATCTAATAATCGGATTTAAAAATGGGCAAAAATATGAATAGACAATTATCAAAAGAAGACATGCAAGTGGCAAACAGGTAGACGAAAAGGTGCTCAAAATCACTATCATTAGAAAAATGCAAATTAAAACTGCAGCGAGATACCATTTTACCTTAGTTAAAATGGCTTTTATCAGCCAGGCATGGTGGCTCATGCCTGTAATCCCAGTAATTTGGGAGGCCAAGGCGGGCAGACCACAAGATCAGGACTTCGAGACCAGCCTGGCCAACATGATGAAACTCCGTCTCTACTAAAAATACAAAAATTAGCCCGGTGTGGTGGTGGGCAATTGTAATCCGAGCTACTTGGGAGGCTGAAGCAGGAGAATTGCTTGAACCCAGGAGGTGGAGGTTGCAGTGAGCCAAAATCGTGCCCTGCACTACAGCCTGGGTGACAGGGCAAGCCTCTGTCTCAGGAGGTAAAAAAAAAAAAAAAAAAAAAAAAGCAAAATGTCTTTTATCTAAAAGATAGGCAATAATAAATCCTGGCAAGTATGTGGAGAAAGGGAAATCCTTGTATACTGTTGGTGGGAATGTAAATTAGTACAACCATTATGGAGAACAGTATGGAGGTTCCTCAAAAAACTAAAAAATAGAGCTATCATACTATCCAGCAGTCCCACTGGTAGGTATAGACCCAAAAGAAAGGAAATACGTCAGAGATATCTGCACTCCCATGTTTATTGCAGCACTATTCACAATAGCCAAGATTTGGAAGCAAACTAAGTGTCCATCAGCATATGAATAGATAAAGAAAATATGGTGCATATATGCAAGACAGTACTATTTAGCCGTAAAAAAGAATGAGATCCTGTCACTTGCAGCAACATAAATAGAACTGGAGGTCATTATGTTAAGGGAAATAAGCCAGGCAAAGGTCCCATGTTCTCACATACTTTGGGGAGCTAAAAATGAAAACAACTGAACTCATTAGAAGCTGGGAAGCGTAGTGTGGGGGGCAAGAAGGGGGAATGGGTACAATTAATATGCACAAAAATATAGTTAGATAGAATGAATAAGACCTAGCATTTGACAGCACAACAGGGTGACACAGTAGACAATAATTTCTTGTGCATGCCTTTAAAAATAACTAGAAGACTATAATTGGATTGTTTATAACACAAAGGAAGGATAAGTAATTGAGTTGATGGACACTTCATTTACCTTGATGTGATTATTATACATTGTAGGCCTATATTAAAATATCTCATTGTACTCCATAAATATATACACCTAATATGTACTCACAAAAATTAAAAATTAAAAAACGTGATGACCATAAATATTGGAAATACCAATATTAGCATATTAATAATGGACATATATAAAGGAAGACATGACAATGCATGCCTCAGAAGTGGGTTTCAAAACTACCCTGTGGCACACTGGTTTGAATAACCTACATATGCTTTTGATTCCTAATCACTTAGGCCATTTCTCTTTTTGATCCTGATATATTGTACTTGCATTCTCTTTCCCCACACACAAACTACACATATTCAGAAACTTTTAATTGGTCAGAAAACACTTTCATAAAACCTCAAACTGTCATTCTTTCCCTTGCTTTTCTCTCACTCCTTTCTCTACTACATAGTTTCCCTTTCTAGATCATTTCTTCCCTATCATTTTATTTGCTCCAATATTCTAGTCCCTGACAATATAACCGCATCAGGAAATACAGGGAATATAGTTACAATACAAGGAATAACAAGGAATAAGGAATAACAGATTTTATGCCAAACATGTTTGTGAGTGGCTACAGAAAGGGGATAATGCTTGTCTTGGGTATATTTCAACACACCTAACAACTTAATTCAGAGTGTGGAAAATTCTCTACCATGGCATTTAGTTATATCTGTCTCTATGAAAGAAAACAGTGTAAACACAAAGAAGCTACCTAAAAATAAACTTTAAATTCCCATTCAGTGAGCACCTTGGGAGTAAAATTCCAATCAGGGAAGTGTGAAATGTAATGCGTCGTTAGGGAATAAACCCAATTTTTAATTACTGTTGGCAGCTAGAGAATAGTGTCCTCACAACTAGTTAATTTCATATTTTTGTAAAAACAACGTGACTTTATCATCTCAAAAAGCAAAAATGATAGCACAGAAGAATGGAGACATAGCTTTTGATTTGGCTTAATTAAAAACGAAAGCAAAACATCAGCTATGTTTTTTTATCTGTAATTTTTTTAAGTAGAATTTTTCCTTATTCTCTCTTTTCCTCTATGCAAACAATGATAACTAAAAAAAGATATATAGAGAGAATATTACTGAAAATCTCTCAGCATGCAAGAGAAAAACAAGATTTATTAAGAAAAAGAAATGTTATTTTCTCACAATTGCCATGAAAAGTTTATTGTAGAGTCTTTCATTAAATTGGCAGGAAGGAAGGCCACTGATGTCAAAGCATGTATATTTAGTTCATTTTATTCTCTTTTTCAAGGTAAGTCATGCAGGAATGCTCGTATAGTATGTGAAAAATGAAGTCATTTGAAAAAAAACTATTCCTAAAAGTCAAAAGATGATATTCCACATTGTCAATGTGACAAAACCTACTCTAGCACAATTCTTAATATAAGAATGCAGACTTCTCCGATGATTAAAGGGAGAGACAGGTAAATATTTCATTGCAATGCATACAGAATTGATAGATATACTACTGAAGAGAAAATGCACAGTAGATTAAATGTATATATTTAAATTCAAAATTATTATACTGTGGTAGATTGTTTCTTTTACATTTTTTTCTTAAAAATAAGACCCATAATTTTAGTACATTCTGCATGTGTCTTTAGTGGTAAATTTGTCTCTTTTGATTCTGAGCGTCCCCACATGACTTTCTCTGTCTGTGCTTTTGCAATAACAGCATTGAAGAAAGAAAAGCTGCTTCACCAAAATGGCAATGTGGTCCTCTGCCCACAAATTTCCTTGAATTGTCTTTCATGCCAATGTTATCTTTGTGACCTTGTTTCCAGGTCATCCTTTCCAATTTATGCAACTCAAGATAAAAAAAAAAAACCAGTAACTGGGACTACCAAACCTTCTAGAAAGTGATTTTCATTTCAAATATAGCCACTTATTTATTTGTACCCTAAATGGATTACTCATGACAAACTGTATTTGGCATATAGATGACCAGTTTATCATTAGGGAACTCAGTACTGATAGAAAGAGAAACATCCTGAAAATTAATAAAACACATAATTAGTGAGTATCTAACATGAACCAAGCAATGATAAATACAGTATGTATCAAGACATGAGATACAGTCTTTGCTATAAAGGCATTTGCAGGACCATAAAATGAAAAAATTCCTATACTGGAGATACGTAAAGCTTTTTACAGAAATGTACAAAAGGGGATAATTCACTACCTGATGAAAATGATAAAACAATATTAGAAAAGAAACATCTGGGCCGGGCGTGGTGGCTCACGTCTGTAATCCCGGCACTCTGGGAGGCCAAGGCGGGCGGATCACGAGGTCAGCAGATCGAGACCATCCTGGCTAACACTGTGAAACCCCGTATCTACTAAAAAAAAATACACAAAAAATTAGCCGGGCGTGGTGGCGTGTGCCTGTAGTCCCAGCTACTCGGGAGGCTGAGGCAGGAGAGTGGCGTGAACCCGGGAGGCGGAGCTTGCAGTGAGCCGAGATCGCGCCACTGCACTCCAGCCCGGGCGACAGAGCGAGACTCCGTCTCAAAATAATAATAATAATGATAATAATAATAAAGAAATATCTGAAGATAGAAAAATCACTTCGGGTAAGGGGAACACAGAACACAGTTAGACAGAACACCTGAAAGATTAAGTTCCAGGATCCACAAGTTGCTGAGAAGAGCTGAGAAGGTAAAGAAAATCAAGATAAGATAAATATTTCACTTGTTCATCTCCACATTCACCTTCCAGCCTTCTCTTACCTGCGCTATGCCCTGCAAGGCTGACATACTAACTCAATTGGCTCCCTTGTCTTTTGACTGCCTGTTGAGTTAAATCAGTGCAGATGCTCGTAGGATGGGAGAAAGAAAGGTGAGTAAGAAATGAGTTCTGGGTGTTTATGGCCGTCGCTTCACATCTGTGAGTGGGCCAGTGGCTGAATCTATCAACCTCAGATCACAGTCACTGTCAGGCCGTCCTTTCCAGAGGGCTTTATCTGCCTCCTAGTCCAGTAACCACAGCAAATCTTCAACATTAACCTCACACTGCCAGGTGGTAAAGGTGCCACAATTACTGGTCTGTAGTACTTCACTCTCCCTTTTGCTTTCCTTACATCGTCCCCACCTCTCTGTAAATACCCCCTTTATAAAATTCCACTCAAGTTAAACTAATTTTAGTATACCATCTGTTTTCTGCTGCAACCATGACTGATACAGGATGGAAAGATATTTAGTTTTTTAGGGTAGGAGTTTCTCAGGGGAGAGACGGAAAGAGTTTCAGAAAAGAGAACTTAATTCACAAACCAGGGTAATGGAGGACTCGTGTACGCCAAGATTGAAGACCTGGCTGGGAGGGAAAGGTGTGGGCTGTAAATGGAGTTCTCTTTCTCTGAGATTGGGAGGAAGAATGTAGATATATAAATATAAGTAAGATGGAGGGTCAAGGGAATTCAAGGAATATCCTGTTTGACAGGTTTTATTAGTTCAGTTAAGTAGATGGCATGGCAATTTCTATGGAGACAGCAGAAGATGGCTCAAAAGTTCATAAAAACAAAGATGATTTTCATTAGCAGTGAGAAAAGCAGTCTATTATTGACATTGGTAATGATCAATAAACAGTTGAGGTTGAAAATGATCCGTGGACAAAATATGCTGGTCGTATGTCCTTGGCATTGTCTTTACCAGTGTCTTACAAATGATGTCAGGATCCATTCATTGAGGTTGCATTGAAGGTTGAGAATAACAGAGCATATAAATGAAAATTTCTGGTCAGAGCACGGTGGAGTTGTCTTGCCGTTTGATCTAGGTTACATAACAAAAGAAATTAACATAGGAAAGGTTGTGTGACTAGAATAGGAGGGAGCAATGAATTGTCTAAGTGTTTCAAGAGGCGAAACTAGAGGAGCAGTGATATCAAGGTTGAGAGGTAGTCAGAGTGAATCTTGGAGTTTAAGATACTTAATGCAGAAAAGTTCTGGAAACGATTACGTCCTGGGGACCAGAGGAGTGGGTTGCTGAAGTAGACTGGAGCAGAGGAAGTGAGAAAAAAACAAATCTGTGAGAGTTAAGAATTTGACATCTGCGGTTTATTGAAATACTTTAGCATGATGCCCAGTTTTCAAGTTAGAAAAATGAGTGTGAGTGGGTGAAGAAGTGCTATTAAAACATCAGCCCTTCCACCTGTGTAAGATGCTAAATGTGAAGGAACATGAGAAATGTCCTATTGAAAGTCTTTTATGAGAAGAAGTGTCACTAGTCAGATACAAGGTGAAGATTCAGTTTGATGGCAATAGAAGATTTTCAGAGAGCAAAGTACCAAGAGTTTGTAGAGAGATGAGCAGGTTGAGAATGGATCTGAAGAGTTAGAAATGGAATGAATAAGGATAACTTTCCCAAAGATAAAAGCCTCTCACTCTTTAGCATTAAATGAATACTCCATTTCAAGATCACAATGGTGAGAAACACACTGCTCACTGTTCTAACAGAGAGAATCACTACACGAATGGCCTTGGCCACCTCCAATATATATACCTTTCAAATTCATACTGTCCAAGATAAACCCTTTTTTGCTTTGTGAAACTTAGCAAAGTAAACCATCAAACTGACACAAAGAACGATTAGCATCTACTTTTATCAGGTGGACATCATTTAAGAGAAAGATCCTTAACAAAGAGACTCTCGGCCCATCTCAAGAAATAACTATTACCACACCATAGAAAGACCATTTTTTCACACTTAGAATTTTCTTTGGATTTATGAAATGCCAAGCATGAATAATTCAGCTCATAAATGTCCATGATACTCAAACTGTATTTGATTTATTGCTAGAATATGTATAGAACCAGTAAAATGACAAACTTTTCAATACCAAATGTAATTCAAACCAAAAGCAAGCACAATTTATTATTTTATATATTTAAAAAACTTCTAAAATAATATGTTCTTCAAATAGAAATAAAATTTAAGTATAATTCCACTTAATAACTAAAGCTTACAAGCAGCCAAATTTTAGTCTATAATTTGTAAATAGAGAAGGAAATAAATGTTATAATAGTATTAAATACGTGTTATAATAGTATTAAAACACATTAAATTTGATATTCCAATTTATTCACATACTGTTTTATTTCGGTAAAACAGTATGTGAATAAATTGGAATATCACATTAATAAGCTATACATATTCTAGGGATTTGGATAATAATTTTGGAATATATTTTAAAAAGTTGAGATGTCAAATGAATGACAGTCCTGTAGTGGAAATTAGTGATAGGAGGATAATTCTATCTTGTTTCCTGATTTCTTGAGTTTTCTCACTGTTACTAGAAAAATTGAGACCTGTCTAATAAGGAGATGGAATTCTTAGTTCTTACATAACTGAGTATACCAGTCTTCTGTATGCTCACATCAAATATCACGAGATTTCTATTTTCTTTCTTGTATATACTGAAATATATTTTATTTTCCCTGCATTAACAGAGGAGTCCAAAAGGTCTCCAGAGAGTTTTGTATTCAGAAATTTTGAAATAAGATAAATTTGTACTTTAAGATACTAATTGGCACTGTAAGACCTTAGGTAAATTATACAATTTTTTTAATTCATAGTTTTCTTAGTTCTAACATAAAACAACAAATTTCTAAATAGCATGGTTTATATGAAAATTAAATGAGATAAACTAATAAAAGTATCTACCTCAAGCCTGACACTTGTCATGCATTCATTATTGATCCCTCCACATGTTGAGAAAAGCAGTTTAGGGAGAAGGTCACAGTCAAATATGGATGGTTCAATACAAAGAACAAAGCTACTGACATTCTATCACATCGAATTTAAATCCTGCCTCTAAAATATGTCAATTGTGTAGCTATGACAGCATGTTTTGTTTACCTTCTCTGATATTAGGGTTCCTCATCTGTAAAATGGAAATAAAAATACCCAGTGCAGATTATTCTAATGAGGATGAATGGGAAACCCACATAAGGAACTGATATAACGCCTCACATATCCTATGAATACAAGGGTTTGGGTTTTTTTCTATCTCTGCCCCTTTACAAAGTTGAATTATTTTAATAGTGTAATAGCAAAATGATTTGAAAGGAAAAAAGAAAAAAAATTCTGTATGCATATAAATGGTATCTGTTTTAAAAATAAAATTATAGGGAGATAATTTTATGATTGAGATCTATGTTCAAGTTAAGACTGGTTTGGGCAAATATTCCAGCAGAACTGGATTTAAAACCTCTTTGCCACTAACAGGCTGCGTAACTATTGGCAATGTTAGCAAGTTCATTGTTATTATATCTATAATATACCTATCTCAAATGTTCCACTAGAAGATTAAATATTTTAACTATTTTATGTAAAGCTCTTTTTACAATGTCTAGCTTAAGGTAATTATCTAAAAATATTTGACTTTATTATTATTCTGAAAACATTCTGATTTTTGAATCAAAATAAATGAATCTTTATATGAAGAAAACGTTTGCTCATTTTTAAATTTAGAAATAATACAAATAAAATATACTATGAAATATAAAAGTGGTAGTCAAGTTTAAAAGATGTTTATTAGAAGATAATTTTATATTTATAGAATATTAAAATTATTCCAGTGAAACTTCTCAGTTATTCTAACTACTTACATAAAACGAATTTTAAAAAGAGATAATAGGCTGGGCGCGGTGGCTTACGCCTGTAATCCCAGCACTTCAGGAGGCCAAGGTGGGATCACGAAGTCCGGAGATTGAGACCATCCTGGCTAACACGGTGAAACCCCATCTCTACGAAAAATACAAAAAGTTAGCCGGGCTTGGTGGCGGGCGCTTGACGTCCTAACTACTCAGGAGGCTGAGGCAGGAGAATCGCTTAAACCCGGGAGGCGGAGGTTGCAGTGAGTCGAGATCACGCCACTACACTCCAGCCTGGGTGAAAGAGCGAGACTCCGTCTTAAAAAAAAAAAAAAAAAAAAAAAGGAAAAAGAAAAAGCAACAACAACCACAACAACAAAAAAAATAGTGTCATAAAAGCATCACATGAATATATATTAAGAGCACTAAGTAGAAAAAGATGCACTAAGAGAAAGACATGTCGTGAAAAACTAATGCCTAGCTGTCGTTAGTCTATAATTACTATAAGTTAGCTAAAAGTAGTACATAAAATAGTTGTTTAACATACATTTTTCCAGGGTATATACACTAGCATTTTTAAAAAACAGTAAAGTATCTCCATTTTCAACCAAGCAGATTAATGTAGGGCTTATAGTTGCATACATACCATAATTTTAACCTAATGTAAGAAACAACGCTTTCTAAAAAGTGTTTGCAGTTCTGACAATGAGAAACTTATTGCCCAGTTTCCCTCTGGGTAACTTCTATATTCAATTAAGGATGTTTTCATGTTTGGTACATTGGCTTTTGGGGTACAGATAGAAAATTAGCTTTGCTGACTTATTTTGTTCTCAATTTCTCTTAAAATTCAATTTACTATACTAAATCATGTGTATTGGTAGCATAGGCATAAAATAAAATTACTACAATTTGGACAAAATATAAAACTACAAGGAGGATTAATCTTAATGTTTCATAAGCTATCAAGTTTAATAGCAAATAAAATAATTGGAAACTTGCTTTATTCTGCTATATTGCAATAGTTTTGAATAAGGATAAAAACTAGGAAGTTATTGGCATTTAAATATGTTGCAAAATATTTTAATTTTTAAGTTAGATAATCATAATTGTACATCTAATTTAGCAACTGGTTTGCTATTAAATACTATTTAGTATGTAACAATTTGAACATATAAGTGAATCAACCTGTGATCTTCACTCCATACAATGGAAATTAGTGCAAAATATTTTAAAAATATTTTTGGAAGTCAATGTATAACTCACAAAGACATTTTTATCTGATATGAAAACTTATTCAAGAATAATGTAAATTGCTTAAAAGAAAATATTTACTGTAAAATTATTATTTTTACAAAAGTCTTGAGTTTGACTTAAAATGAGCTTCATTTGCTGGTTATTTAGTGTTAGTCACTCACTGGCTTAACCATAAAGCCCTTGAGCACCCACCTGTGAAGAATGTGTTGGCAAAGTGCGGAAACAGTAGAGAGATTCAGAGCCAGAAAATCTTTATTTCTTTGAGCATGGCATTTCACGTTTATGGACCTAATTTTTCTCACCCACTAAAAGAAGAGCTACCGGGCAATGATACAAAAGTTCTCAGCCATCTCCTGAATTCTAGAAATAATGTGTTTTTTTTTTTGAAACATGATATAGCGAAAACATTCAGAATTGATAACTTTGTTTAATATAAACTCCGTCTATTATCATTTGAACAAATTTAGGAAAAATAACCTACGACGGTCATTTGACATGGATGATTTTGTAAGCAGGTGCACAGGCATGTGTAACAGTGCTTTATAAGCTCTAATGCGCTATGCAAAGGGAGATATTATTGACTCCATTGTTCAATGTTTGTGAATATTCCTTGACAAGCAGGAACAGACATGTAAGTGGACAATGACTATGGCAAACGCTAGCAAGCCCAATGTGTCAGTTGAATGTAATATAGTTTATTAGTCAGCTATATATTTGGTAAATATGGATAATATTTCCTAAAGTTTACTCATGGAAGAAAGAACAAATGATGCTAGTGAGTACAGTGTATGACATCTTTGAATTCCAACTAACCCATGCTTAAATAAAGTGTATACCCAAGCTTTCTATAATTTTTATGTTAGAATCAGCACATTTCTTGACTGTAACTGCTTTAACAGGGACCCACATAACCTGCCAAAAACCTTAAAAACACAGTAAGCACTTAGATTACAAATAATATAAACCAAAAATAATTTTAACTAACTCAACTGGAACATGAAAGAACCTTATTTCATTTTGACATAAATTACCTCATGGTTTTACAGATCACTGAATTTCTGTAGTTTGAAAAGATGAAGTTAATAAGGAATGTTAAGTAGTGTAATTATATTTTTCAGTCTCATCTGACAAAGAGTAAGTTAGTTTTAATTAGTTATAGAAAAACCTGGCTTAAATACTGTTTTTTTTTAAGGCTGAATAACATTTATCTAGATTTATATTTAATGAAACAGAAAAAGAAAATTTAAACTAAAACATATTGACGCCTTAACACAATCACAGGATTTTATATTTTGTAAAAATTAAGAAGCTTCTTTAATTTAAGGTTTATATGATTCTTTGAATGAGACTATTGTATATTGTATGTTAATGCAAATTTCCCTTCTGAATCAAACAGTTATTTATGTACACACAAATTCAGAACTTGCTTCCTTTACACAGCTGCTTTACTTCAAGAATTTAGTTTTTTAATGGATAAATTAATTAACGTATTTTCAGTGACGACTACATATAAGTAAACAGTAAAAAAAAAAAGAAAAACTATAATTACTGCCTTTCCCTCTGACTGTAAATCGATATCATAGTAACATCTCATAAATAATTTTATAATTTCATTTATATGTTTTGTTACGTGGATAAAGATATAATATCCATTTATTTTTGAACAGAGAATAATGTGAAATACTTGCATATATGCTGTAACCATATTTATGCTCGAGCAGAACTTTTTATAACTTATGATTATAACATATACAACATAGGATAATGGTTAAGGGAATAAGCTCTAGAATCAGATCAACTTGGATTTTGAATTCTGACTCCTACATTAATTGGCTACATAATCTTGGGCAACTGAGTTTAAATTCCCTAAGCTTCCCTTTTCTGTCTATAAAACTGGAAAACTAGTATTACTTACCTCAAAGAATATATCTGAAAGTAAAATGAGGAAAGGCACAGGCCAGTGTTGGGCTCTCCATGACAGTTATTGTTATTTACATTTTTCCTTTGATGGCTGATAACTTGCGAGATATTTGTGGCTTTTACATCAGAAAGCAAAAACATGTTTCACTCCTTGTGTCAATAGAGCACTCCAGTTCTGTATTTTTCAATCACTGAAGTTTAAAAATGCTATGGCTGGGGAAAGCAAATATATATGTTTGGTATCTTTAAATTTAGCCCCCACAATATCTAAGAAAGATAAGTTTGTTTCTTATTTTTGATATGAAAACTTCTGGAAATGTCACTTTGTGTGTATAACACGACTTGAGAAGCAAATCCCAAACTTATCTTAACATAAATAATAAATGATCTGTTCTGATAGTAAAAATATTCTTAAGCACATAGAAAAATAGACATGACAAAATGGAGAGAACACAACTATTTCAAGCATCCAATTTTAAAGCACAGAACACTAAATTTTAAAAAAATGATAAAAATGGGTAACTAAAAAGGCATGGAATATTCATATATGTATTTTATTTAGGAGTGACAGAAATTTTTCCATGTTGAAACATTAATGTACACATCAACTTTTACCCTGAATGTTTAAAGTTATAAGTATAGTTCTAAATAATAACAGATGCTTCATATTCTTGGCTTGAATAAAATGGTGGTTTGAATTTTTATAATCCCAATTCAAGGAAGGAGAGAGGGGCCGAGACCTTTTTCCTCTAGACTCATGAAACAAGAAATCCAATCTATACCACTAGTAATAAACCTACTGGGAAAACTGATAGAGCAGGCAGAAAAAAACATAAAATTGGTGCAATCTATATAGCCCTGTTTCAGGAAGAAGGAAAAGAGAAAAATTGCCTGAGAAATCACAAATAAAAAGCATGTTTGATAAGATAGAAGACATATTAAAGGGAAAAAATACCCTGCAAACCAGCCCTACTGAGGTAATAAGTACAAATACTAGAGAGGTTTTCTTAGCTGAAGCAGGTCCAAACAAACAGAACAAAAACAACAACAAAACCCTCCAACAACAGCAATAACAAAAACTAAGTATAAGTAAAATCTTTGGCATGTCTTTTTTCTAAAATTTAGTCTGAATTCATTTTTAAGTTGAACAGTTCTGTAAATCCCTTCCATATAATGCACTTAAAACTCTTTCTTTACTATTCACTTTGTTTATAATAGTATAAATTATTCTGAGCAATTGAATAGTCTTTGCTATTTTATTTAGACTAAAATGCTCATTTTATAAGTAGAAAATTAGAAGCATAACTATAAAGACTTGTATAATATATGTTTGCAGAAATTTGGGATTCATATTATATAGTTACCATATGTTATAATAAAATAAGAAAAAGGTCTAATATAACACTTCAGAGTCTTAATGGATACACTGAATGTACGATTAAGATAAAATTAGATGAGGAGTATTATTTTGTGTAATCATGTTTATTCTACAGTGATTTTTGAGTCTCTATTATATAATGTAGATACAGATTAATATATATTGATGAATAAAAAATGGCCTCTGCATTAACAGAATTCAAAGAGCAGGGAGGGAAAAAAATGCACACTAGAATAATGTCAATGATGTGTGGCAGGTTACAAAGCGGTATATATAATAGGCATCACTAGCACAAGGAAGGAAAGTGATTTACAGGTTCATCCAATGAGGAACCAAAATAAAAACATTTAGGCCATGGAGCTAGTAAGAGGTGATATGTGAAAGCAATTTGTTGGTAGAGCTTGAGAACTAACTAACTAACAATCCTGAAACACTTCTCTGGGGAAGCAGAAGCTGTGCCATTGCATTTGAATAAAGACTACTAGGAATATAAGAACGACCTAGAGAGGAGCAATCCCCCAACTGCTGCACCATAAATCAAGAATATTCTATAGTCTCTCTAAACCCTTAAGTTACAAGCACAAAGTGTATCCAAGTTACAAGCATAAACTCAAACAATCTGGGTATAAATATGTGATAAAGACCAAAGATGCTTAGAACATTTGCATATGGGAAATCTGGGAAGCTGGGTGTTTTCAGGGGAATTCTTGTGAACAAATTTAGAAGATGATGTTACTATGGTGCTGTTCTAGATGCTCTCATGTCAGCCTGTCCCCTCTTCTTTTTGTCTAATATCTATGAGCCCCTGGCTCTTAAGCCATTTTGTTCTTACGTTATTTTTCCCTCTGTTAGTAGTTTAGCAATACTGAAAGAAACACAGGATGTATTAGAAGAATTATATGCATGCTAAAACACACATAACAGTTCCTCTATGAGGAGCCATATTCAAAAAGATGTGTTTACAATAGTTCTGTTAGGACAACACACTCCATCAGCTAAGTTAGCAATCCCCACACTGAGTTCTGTAAGATTATAACACGTGTTTCACAAATATAACACAGAGAGATGATAACAATGTTTTCCTCTAGAGTGTATTTTTATTTTTTGTTTTTATTAATTTATTTTTGAGACGGAGTTTCGCCCTTGTCACCCAGGCTGAAGTGCAATGGCATGATCTCGGCTCACTGCAACCTCCGCTTCCTGGGTTCAAGCGATTCTCCTGCCTCAGCCTCTCGAGAAGCTGGGATTACAAGCACCCACCACCACGCCTGGCTAATTTTTGTATTTTTAGTAGAGACGGGCTTTCACCATGTTGGCCAGGCTGGTCTCGAACACCTGACCTCAGGTGATCCACTAGCCTTGGCCTCCCAAAGTGCTGGGATTACAGGTGTGAGTCACTGCACTCGGCCTGCGTATTTTTAAATATAGGGAGGAAAAAACAACAACAACAACAAACTCTAGGCATATTTGAATAAGCCAGGCTTGTTAGATAATGCCTGTTCCTTTCATAAAGGTGACATTCTCGATAAATTCCAAGATGTGGCCTGACAAATCACCTACACTAACTTTTTCGTTTTGTTCGTTGATGTATCAAAAATATTTACCAACTAAAATTGGCAATGCATGTCGAAAATGAAAAGCAAGAATCTGTGCTTCTCAAATCTTTTTTTTAAAAAACGACAAAATTTGGACTATTTCACTGTGAAGATGATATAAACAGCTTTTTCACGTTTCTTCTTTTCTTCTCTTTTTTTCTTTTTTTTCCCCCTTTTTTTTTTTTTTTTTGAGACAGGGTCTCACTCTGTCACCCAGGCTGTAATGCAAAGGCACAATCTTGGCTCACTGCAACCCCCGCCTCCCAGGCTCATGTGATTCTCCCACCTTGGCCTCCCAAAGTGCTGCAATTACAGTCGTGAGCCCTGGCTCCTGGCCCAGCAGCTTCGTTTCTAAAGAGAAAAAATTAATGCCATATAATATGAATTTTGAATAATTTGAGAAGTACTCAAAATATGTAGTTGTAAAATTTTTCCTGTGCTACAAAATACCTTTAGAAATGACATTTTTTTATTGTGCCGCAATGCCAATAAAATCCACAGGGACACACACACACACACACCCCCTACACACACACACACCATACACACACACACACACACCGTACACATACAAAGACATATATCTGATTTATACACCTTAATCTCATATCTAATTTTAAGGTGATATGTGTTATACAGCGGTATTCTCATTTGAAAAATGGTATTTTTTAAACAATTATTGAGAAATGTTAAATAAAGGATGTTTTGCTTTATCTGTATTACTTTGCATTTTATATTTTTATCACATTATGTTACCTATGTTTCTGTTTCATTCATGTGTGAAGTATAAATTATGAATAAAAGTAGATTGTTTATTATAGCTATGAATTTATTCATAACACCATTTTTATTTCAAATTTGATTGATATGTTCATTATACCTCATGACTTGTTGCTGATGTTTGGGTACCTATCATAATTTTTAAATATGTTCCATGATCAAAAAATGTGGAAAAGTTTAATCTAAGCAGTGAAAGCATTTCTTATCTAATCCTAAAGCAAATGTCTGTTAAATACTTAACTATATTAAAGGACTGTACTGGATGGCATTTTTTCTGATATTTTCAGCTGTAATTCAGAATGTTTTTCATTGAAACCACCAGGCAACATAAGTAGGATTCAACTGCTGTTCAATTTAGTCCCATTTCATCTAGTATTAAGAGGCAAATAAAATAAATAAACTGCCCCAGAAAATAAATTGTATTTCAGAAATCAAGGATTAGTCAACTATGGTATCTCTATTTGGAAGATAATCACATTTGTACACACTTAAAATAGTACTTGAATTCATATCATATGAAGATAAAACATATATCTTTGTATTTGTGGAGGGTGGGGATTGGAATGGGGAGATTCACCTAAGATTAGCAACATGAAGGAAAGAGCCTGGCACTCGTAGCTGTTTTAGAATCTATCTACTAGAGTGTGATTTTTGAACTGGACGTTAACCATTCTGAATCTCAAATTCTGAACTTGTAATTGGAGTATTTTCCCTGCTTCACAACACTGTTCTCTTAGTGATAACTTATAATTGGCCTGCCACATTCTAGGCCTTCAATGAATGATGATTAAAATGGTGGCTTCTATACTGCTTATTTCCTGAGCTCCTTTCAGGTTGAAATTGTACTGCCTGGATAATAACTTGGAGTTCTTTTTGCTAGCCTTGTTTCTCTATTTTGGATTGTAAGCATATATTCATGAAGCATTTTATTCAAGCCTGTGGCATGCATGCCTGACAGTGTTAGTTAGAGTGGCCAATTGTTTTGGTTTGCTCAGGACTGAAGGGATGCACAAGATTCAGCATTTTTTGTTCACTTTGTTTTTTCATACAGGATCTCACTCTGTCAACCAGGTGAGAGTGCAGTGGCGAGATCACAGCTCACTGCAGCCTCGACCTCCTGGGCTCAAGTGATCTTCTCAGCTCAGCCTCCCGAGTTGCTGGGACAACAGGCATGCACCACCACACCCTGGTAATTTTTAATTTTTTGGTAGAGATGGGGTCTCACCATGTTGCCCAGGTTGGTCGCAAACTTCTGGGCTCAAGCAATCCTCTTCCTTCAGGCTCCAAAAGTGCTGGGATTATAGGCTTGAGCCACCACACCTGCCCAGCATTTTCAGTGCCAAAACTGGGAACATTACAGGCACACCAGAATGGCTGGTCACTCTCTAGTAACCACCTAAATTTGTTCTTCTTGTCCATATTATATTTTAGTCACAAACCAAATTTCTAGCACTTTGTATCTAAGTTCATCCATGGGATTAATTCTGACCAGTGGAATGATGTGTACACTTCTGAACCAGGTAGTTGACTATGTTATGTACCTTCCCAATGTTTATTTCCTTTCATCTGCTGGCTGATCACAACAGGCACAAAGTGGAAACAGCCTGGGGTCCTGAATAGCTGTCTGGAGGAGGGTTTGCCATGTCTTATCAGATGAGTAATGAACTTAATTGTGTTAATTCATTGATATTTTGGAGTTGTTTGTTATATCAATTAGCATATCCTAATTAAATGACAGAATTTATTTTTAAATAATATTAAAAGCAAAAGTAATTTGTTCATTGTTCTTACCATAGGAGACAGCATATAAGGAAGCTATAAAAGGCCAGTCTTCATGAACCATACTGTATTCTAAGAAAAGTTGCCCTAGCAACTTAAAAGTATCTGTGAGTTTATGTAAATAAACTCACTTGGGAGGCCGAGGCAGGTGGATCACCTGAGGTCAGGAGTTTGAGACCAGCCTAGCCAACATGGTGAAACCGCCATCTCTACGAAAAATACAAAAATTAGCCAGGCATGGTGGCGGGCGCCTGAGGCATGAGAATCGCTTGAACCCTGGAGACAGAGGTTGCGGTGAGCCAAGATCGCACCACTGCACTCCAGCCTGGGCAACAGAGTGAGACTTTGTCTCAAAATAGATAAATAAATAAATAATAAACTCACAGTTTTAAGCCTCAACAGGCATGTAGTATCCTTAACAGGCAAGTAGTATCATTTCCTCCATTTTCGTGGATAAAGATAGGACTTAGAGGGGTTTTGTTTTCATTTAATTTGCACAAAGATAAATGCCAAACCTGAGAATGAACTCCTGATTCCTGATATGAAACTCTATGTTCTTCCATTAAGCTATATTTCCTTTACATATTCTATAATCACAGGTACATACAGACACACATATATGCACACACTATAAAGCAATAATAATAGAACGGTCACATGTTCACATTAAGTGAAAATGTCTATTTCTGTCTAACTAGAAGGTTACTAGGAATTGAAAAAACTGATAGAGATTCTGACAAGTCTGTTATGTAATCAAATATGGCCATTCTGGGAACATTCATTGACCAGAGATTAAGCAACAGTGTTAAGAATCTTTTCTTACTCTTAAGTGGTATGTATTCAATTTCCAAATGATGGTTCTATCTCTATATTTCATTGATCTTTGACTCGGGTCATAGTAACAAAATAAAATCATTAAGATAATTAACCTAATATTCTCTTCCTCCATGTCACGAAAACAAGCCTGAAAGTTAAACATAATAATACTGTATTTGGTTAAGAATTTAGTTTACAGAGAAATGTATTATGTTCCCAAGTTTTTTCTTCAATTTTAGCTATAGAGGCAATAATAATGGGTTTAAAAATCAAGGCAAGGTGAAAAAGGCTGTATGAAAGCGTGGTTGGCAGGATTTTGTCTAAATAAAACAAGAAAAAGATGAGATTGAATTTTAGTGTTTAAAATTTAACATTAAGCAAAATTACATCAGGATAAGAATTTTTCCTATGGCTGAAATGAGAACTTAACTGGAGAAACATTTATATCTTGGCATGACGATAAAAGTGAGAGAGAAATAACATCACAATATATTGCTTCATCAGATCACAGTTTTAGCTTCATGCAAAGGTACCTCGAGCTGGGAATATTTTTTAAAATTTCATTCCTCTTCCAACACTTAATCTGTTGGTGACTTCAAAAGAAATCCAAAGTAATTTCAACGTTAATATCTCCCTGTGCTATCACATTCTGTCTTCCTCTCACCTACACTTCTTGGAAGAGTGGCGTAATTATAGGAATTCCATCCACTTAATAGTCATTCATCTTTAAAGCTATACACTCTGCATTCTTCCTCCATCTGCTTTTTCCCAACTGCTTTTGAGTAAATACAACTTGTGTCCTTTTATTTCTGATTTATTACCTCCTAAAATTTGCTGTAGCATCAGAAATAGCTGATTACCTGTTCCTTCAATGTTTGGATCTTAGTGATATTACAAAGAACCTATTTCTGTGAATGTTCCAACTCACTCTTTGGTGGGTGGATTTCATTTATTTCAAGCATCCTCCCAATCTAGACATTCCTTGATGTTGCCTTCTTATATCACTTTTTCACTGAAGTGTTATATTTACTTCCATTCCTACTCACTCTCACAGTATTCTATTCAAAATTGTGGTCTTTGGCTGTAGTTTGGAGTTTTTCTTTCTTTCTTTTCTTTTCTTTTTCTTTTTATTTTTTTTTTAGATGGAGACTTGCTCTGTTGCCCAGGCTGGATTGCAGTGGTGCAGTCTCAGCTCATTACAATCTCTGCCTCCCAGGTTCAAGCGATTCTCCTGCCTCAGCGTCCCAAGTAGCTGGGATTACAGGTGCGCACCTTCATGCCCGGCTAATTTTTGCATTTTCAGTAGAGGCAGGGTTTCGCTGTGTTGGCCAGGCTGGCCTTGAACTCTTGACCTCAGCTGATGTCCCCGCCTTGGCCAACCAAAGTGCTAGGACTACAGGCATGAGCCACCACACCCAGCACCAAGTTTTTCTTGAAATACAGATTGACAGTTATTTATTTGTAGTTAAAATATGCAAAGGTATAGGTCTACTAAATTCTACAGCTGTTGGACCAAAATTCAAACTCATAACTGCATCCTCTAAACCAACCTATATCTTTATTTCCATTTTCTCTGGTCATCCCAATTGCTGAGGCTTGTTGGAAATGGTTTTGGCTCTTTTTTACTTTTTCAATAATAAATATTGATTTATATTATTAGTGCCTCTACATGTTTCTTACTTCAGTTCCCTTCTTCCCATTCTCACTGTGAATCCTGGGTTATGCCATCATTATACTACACTTGAAGTGTAGGAATGAATCTACCTGGCATTACTTTATATTCTTCTGGACTGCTCTTTTCACCTAATGAATGTTCACCCTTCTTTTCCTATTATAATTCATTCAGATATATGTTGCTGGATTAACCTAAGCACAAATCTGCTCATCTCTTCATTGCTCAAAATTGATCTCCATTTCCTTCCAAATGAAGCACTAAGTCCTCAAACTAGTATTTAAAAATCATTCCTACTACACCTGAAGGATGCTTTTATAATCATATCACACCTACTCATTAAGTTTCACCCAAGCATGACAATTTTGTGAATTCCCTATTCCAGGCCTTCGCATTCCTGCTAGTTTCATGCCCTCCACCTGAAACACTCCATTCTAGTTCACCCCTTTGAAAACCTTAATCATCCTTTAAGACCTAGCCCAAAGGAGCCTTCATTCATAAATGTGTCCTTTCCCTCCTTGTAAGAGGCCATTTGATGACCCTCTTCCTTGAAACCACAAAACACTTTCTTTTACTTCCCTTTTGACAATTATCTTACCTCAGTCAAATAACAGAATGTCCGATATACTTGTTTTTCCCCGACAAAATCAAGGTTTCTTGTTGGCAGGCATTATATTAATCATTTTTGTATTCTTCAAGTGCTTAGCATATATTTTGCATTTTCTCAACAGAAGAGTTCTTTATACAGAAGGGCATTCAATATAAAATTTAGTTTCAGAAACAATTGAATTGCCAAACTGTCCTAATACATAGGGGACTAATTGAGATGCATTGAAACTTAAATGGAGTAATATAATCATGAAGAAAATTCATTCTGATGAAGCATCACATCATGATTAAATCACAAGTTCTTAACTACTGAAAAAATAAGGAAGTAAAATTTCAGTAAATTATAACTTGTCAGCTTAGTTTTCACCAGTGCCATGGATTTCCAATGGGCAGTTTAACAATAGAAACTAACTTCTAAACATTTTTTTCTGGCTTAAGTAAGGCAATATTAAAAGCTATATAAAATTACACATCTATTATATATATATACACATACCCATATATACACATATATGTGTTTATATATACACACATATACTTATATATGTATACGTGTATGTATACTATGTACGGCACAATAGAAAATGGTATTATCCTAAATGTGAAATTGTTGGCAGTTTTGGATTTTCAAAAACCAAAGAAAATATTATCAAACTGTAAACCTTCTTTCTCATTATAAGATGACTTTGTCTTTCTAGAAAGTAGGCATAAAAAGAAATAGAAGGATATAGGCAGGCACCAAAATGTCTCCCAATAGTTTCCAAAGCTAATGGCATTCACATCCTATGTAGTCCCTTGTACCAGAGTTGTTTTGCGTGCCCGAAAGCATAATGAAACATTGATGGTATGTAATTTCCTAGATTAAAAGACAAGGACTTCCATTTTAGGAGGAACCGAAGCTTATGACAGACTGAAGCCTTTCAAAAACCATGCAAGCTTGGAAGCTCCTGTTGAGCTTTGAGATGACTATAGCCTCTGCAATCTTGTGAGAGACCCTGAGCCAAAACCACTAACAAACATGCACCTGCATCCCTAATCCTCAAAAACTGTGTTCTCTAAATTGCTATGTTTGGGGGTACACTAGTCTCCTCTCATTCATGGAAGATATATTCCAAACCCTCCAGGAGATGCCTGAAACCAAGAATAGTACCAAATGCTATGTATACTATGTATTTTCCTATGCACACTATGTTTTTTTCCTATGCACACTATGTTTTTTTCCTATGTGTACATACTTATGATGAAATTTAATTTATAAATTAGGCAGAGTAAGAGATTAACAACAATAACTAATAATAAAATAAAACAATTATAACAACATTCTGCAATAAATGTTATGTGATGAGAAGGTGGTCCCTTTCCTCTTTTTCTCTAAACATATTATTACACTGCGTATATATAATATACAATATTATTACACTGCGTATATATGATATACATTATTACACTGCGTATATATAATATACAATATTATTACACTGCGTATATATAATATACAATATTACACTGCGTATATATAATATACAATATTACACTGCGTATATATAATATACAATTTTACACTGCGTATATATAATATACAATATTATTACACTGCGTATATATAATATACAATATTATTACACTGCGTATATATAATATACAATATTATTACACTGCGTATATATAATATACAATATTATTACACTGCGTATATATAATATACAATATTATTACACTGCGTATATATAATATTGTACTGAGGACAGTACAATAATATATTAATATTAATTAATTATAATTAATATTAATATTGTCCTCAGTACAATATTATATTAATATTAATTAATTATAATTAAAATTAATTACTACTGCCCTCAGTACAATATTATATATATATATACTTATTTTTGGACCGTAGTTGACCATGAATAACTGAAACCATGGGACAAGGAGGGACTAATATATTTAGTTATTCAACAACAGGTAACAATACATAGCTACATAGAAATTTTACCATTAACCATATTTATAATGAAATTAGTAATTCATATCTTTAAAGGATTTTGTTAGCTACAATTGTTATTGACTACATTAATGAAATACAGTATCCTCAAAATAAACATTTATGCCACAAGAATTTGTATTCTATTTATTAAAAGTGCTTACAACCCCTTACCTCTAAAGATTTGATTTCTCCTTAGATCTCATAAAACCATAACATCTTTGGGATATTTTTCTTTTCCTTTAAAATAAAATGTTTTAAGTATTTGATTCAATTTACTCTACTGTTTCTCAAAATAGATCTCAGGTAAGTTTTAATGCCTAGGTGAAGATCAGAAATAAATAATTTTCAACAGCTGCTTGAGCATAGCAGGAGAGAACTATAGGTCATACAAAAAAGATAAAATAGATTTTTCTTCCTAGATCTCTTTCTTGTGTTTTCTTGAAACCAGTGTTTGGATTTGCTACAGGCTAAAGAAAGACTAGTTTTCCTTCTCCATAATTTGGTATTTTTTTTTTTTTTTTAATTTCCAGTGCAAATTACAGAATCTTCTGAGTGGGTCATATCATCAAATGAAAAAATGTCATTTATTAATAAGTGTTATGTGTAAGTTAACATTGCAACACATTCATTAATATATCAATGCTTAAAAAAGACTTCAGGTAATTTAAAAGCACTTTAGTTTTAATTTTGACTTTTTTGATATCTCCAAAATTTGGTATTCTTACTAGTAAAACATCAATGGAAAACAGAGCAAATGCATACTATATATCAAATAAATGAATCCTGGTACTTTTTTTGTCCTGTAGCAATGCAGATAATTGGCTCCATCAATCAAAATGATACTATGATACTAGGATTTTATTAATAAGGTCAATATCCAATGATTTATAATTTCTATAATATAGAAATAAATTATAACTGAATTCATTATATATAATATTGTTATTTTCCTATAAATATGGAATATCTTCATTAGCAGAAAGCTGGACTTTATATTTTCTTTTTGTACTTTATGAAGATGCATATAAAATGTTTAAATGGTTATGTGTTATCTTATTACTGAACACAAAGTGAATTATTTTAATATTGTTCATTGTTTCATGTTGTCTCCTATTTTAAATAATTAAACATGAATCTCTTGCATGTTGTAAATAAATAATATATTATAAATATATACATATATTTAAATGTCATATATGCTATTTTGCACTGTGAAAAATAAAAGTCTTAAGGGGCTGAAAAAAATATGAACAATTGATAGTAAATATTTTAGAAATAAACATTAGGCTGTATTGGAAATGCAGCATTTACACAGCATTTTAAGTGCTAAGGAAAAAAAAAAAAAGCATTTTGCAAAAAGTTGGAATATAGGATGAGCAACCTGGAAAAGCTTTCAAGTTTACTGCATGAGATACACCATTAATGCCATCAGAGCCAAAGTACCCATCAACTACCACCATTTTTAAAAGCTGCCTGTAACAAAGATAGAGGAGCATGAGCTCATTTTTTTTCATCAAAACTACCCATAATTATTACTGAAAAATCAGTTTTTTATTTCTCCCTTTAAAATATGAAAGAAAAAAAAAAAACCAGGCCCTTCGCCATTATATCTCAATGGCTAAACTCTTCTGTTTAGTAGTTTAAATAAAGTGTGGAATTGGTAGTTTAGTCATAATTTAGTATTTTTTTACTTAACTATATTCTAAATATAAACGGTATTTTCATTCAAAACAGCAGGCACATGTCATGGTTTCATACATATCTTAAGTTTTATTTTATTTATTTATTTTTTGAGACAGGGTCTTTCTTTGTAACCCCGGTTGTAGTGCAGTGGCATGCAGCCACTCCTGGGATCAAGTAATCCTCCTGCCTCAGCCATCCAAGTAGTTGAGACCACAGGTATGTTCCACTATATCTGCCTGGCTAACTTAAAAAAAAAAAATTGTAGAGGTGGGGTCTCCCTGTGTTGCCCAGGCTGAGCTCGAGCGATCCTCCTGTGTTGGCCCCCAAAAGGTTTTAAACATAAAATTCCCTCTTCTTTTGATAAAAGATTGCTAAATTCTACTGACTCATTGGAAAACAAACACAATGTTTAGTTTTTGTTTTCTTTTCTGCATATCTTACTTCAAAAATAAATTACTAAATTCTACACACAGCATGGAATTGCTATGTTCATTTTTAGAAAATTATAAAATTATTTTTGTTGCATCTGTGATTTCACACTCAATAAACTTGTGTCCTATAATTAATTCTGAAATTTGTGCAGTAAAAATTTTCTATCAAAATCTGTCTACAAGCCAATTGTAGCTGGACACCCTATCTAAATAAATATGAATATGTAGTTTGAATAACACACTCTGCTAAATGTGCAGGGAACAAAGAGATGAGTAGATATACACATCTTAGAGATCATAATGATCGACAAATCAAGCGGATTGAAAACTATACTATAAGTCAAAATAAAAGTGCCAACAATAACAACAAAAAAAAGACATAAACAGCCTGGGCGCGGTGGCTCACGCCTGTGATCCCAGCACTTTGGGAGGCTGAGGCGGGCGGATCACGAGGTCAGGAGATCCAGACCATCCTGGCTAACACGGTGAAACCCCGTCTCTACTAAAAATACAAAAAAATTAGCCAGGCGTGGTGGCAGGCGCCTGTAGTCCCAGCTACTCGGGAGACTGAGGCAGGAGAATGGAGTGAACCCGGGAGGTGGAGCTTGCAGTGAGCTGAGATCACGCCACTGCACTCCAGCCTGGGAGACAGAGCAAGACTCCATCTCAAAAAAAAAAAAAAAAAAAAAAAAAAAAAAGACATAAACAGAGTGATTTGGGAAAATTAAAGAAAAATGTTTGGTGAATATTCTAAGAAAATTCTCAAATTATTATCACAATATATATTGCAATATAAATTAGCTAGTACATTTAGGAGAAAAAAAAAATCACCTAAGGCGCATATGACATAATACCTGCCATAGGAGGGGAGTAACAAGGACAGGTTTAAGTAAAGCCCAGGCAAGAAGTCTTTAAGATGTAGCAAAGATTTGTTTTTTGTTTTTGTTTTTTGATCTTAAAGGGAAACTTAATGCCAGGGATTGGAAGAATTCTAAGTGCTTGGAATCAGGAGTTACAAGTTTATTTTATTTCAGCTTCAAAGTCAGTAATAGAATTATGGAATATTATAGGTAGAAGTGCTCTTAGCCCTTGACATGTTTTGAGGTGGCTTAAGTTATTCTGTTCATTTTATAGTGCTAGCATCTGTGCGCAATAAAATACAAGACTTTGGTATTCCTGGACTATTTATACATTCTAATTACGGTATCAAATATCCTTTTAGGTTTCAGTTTTCTTGTCTTGTGAGATTGGTTTAATAGTTTTTGTGCTATCTCCATGTTTTGTAATTTATGTTCTTTTTCAAGAGAGGTGACTATCATTGAACTCTGATGTGGCAATTTGGATCTTGGGTTGCATTAATAAAAATTCTTCCCATTACTCCACTTTCTACAACCCTATACCATTGTTTCCAGATGTTTGCATTTTGAAAAAGGCTTTCAATTATTTCCTTCAAAATCTTTATTGGGGTATTCTCTATTCATGAATATGATTAGTGGATTTTGCAAAAAAAAGTAACTCTAAGTTAGTTTACTTTTGTCTATAGTGAACAGCTCACTTTATGACATTTTGGGAGTTGAAATAACGTATATAATATCCTTTATCTTATTTAGCTTACAACAAATTTTATTTATTTTTTAAAATATTTATTTATTTATTTATTTATTTATTTATTTATTTATTTATTGAGATAGAATCTTGCTCTGTTGCCCAGGCTGGAGCACAGTGGCACAATCTTGGCTCACTGCAACCTCCACCTCCGGGGTTCAAGTGATTCTCCTGCCTCAGCCTCCCGAGTAACTGGGACTACAGGTGCACGCTGCCACACCCAGTTGATTTTTTCTATTTTAGTAGAAACGGGGTTTCACCGTGTTGTCCAGGCTGGTCTCGAACTCCTGAGTTCAGGCAATCCGTCCGCCTTGGCTTCCCAAAGTGCTAGGATTACAGGGGTGAGCCACTGAGCTCGGCCAAACTACATATTTTCAAAAATTAAATTAGATATTACCAAGGATCAAGAATTGGTATTTATTCAAAAATGCAATAATATAGGTAATTGGAATCAATGTAATTTGGTCCATTCTTTCTATTTTACATATGAGGAACAGAGAAGTTAAGTGAGTTATCCAAAGATACCCATTTAGCTAGTTGTAATTCTGAAATTAGAACTAAGGACTTTCAACTCGTGAGCTGTAACTTGAACAGATCCACCAAATTACCTGTATATTTTAATTTCTATCTTCCACTCATATTTATCACTCTGATAACTTTTATATATTATTCTCTATTAATCTTTTGAAGCCACTTCTATCTTTAATGTCTCTGAATTTGCAGGGAGGAATTAAAATATCAGACAAGACAAGCATCATATGCTAGAAGAAATGCCAAATATTGAGAGAAAAAGTTTAGGTCCATTCATTCTCAACTTCCCCAGGGATCCACAAGCTGTGAACAAGCCCTGCTCTAAAATGTTCCTGACATCTGGCTGCGCAGACATCTCTCACTATACATACACTAGGAACATTTATACAAACAATGAAAACCAGAACTATGGCAATCCCAAGAACAAATTTCAGTACCTTTATATTCACTTTTCCCTGATCCTCACTTTTGTTCTTTTTCTTGCTATGCTTTCTCTAAAATGCAAACTAAAGATTTCATTTAGTATCCGTCATTTAGGCTCACCTTCATTCTAAAAGTCTAGAGATGGAAAACATGAGCTACAAGTCTACCTTTCTTTGTACTTTTGAGAAAAACGATAACTAAAACATGACATGCCATGTATGCAAGGCCATATAAATTATATATATATATGACTCTTTATATATGTTTCTTATATCATCACATGTATCTGATCCCTCAATTTTCTTTAATTCCGTCTGCTTCATTTTTCCACTTCTGAAATCAATTTTTTTTTCTAATTTTTGTTTTTGAGTAGAAACCTCATTGATTTCTACTTCTGTCTCTTCTCCGTTCCTACTTCCCTATATTTTTTCCCTCACTTTTAAAATAAAAAGTAGAACCTCAGGACTTTCCAGTGAAGTTTACAATCTTGTCAAGCGAGAGTCCATGAGTAAGTAGCCATGGTTTATGGTTTAACTAAAGCGCCCTCACAATTTGCACCAGGCCATGGGAAGTTAACATACAATGTAAGGTAATTCAACATGCAACTGAAAATTGAATGGGTGTATTACCATCAAATGAGACCACTTCTGACTGGGAATAAAGTGAATGTGCTCTTCCTTCACATCTAAGTTTTCAAGATAAGACAAAAGCAAAATTTATAAAACTTTGTATTATATATACAAAAAGTCATAGAAAAAAATCACATATCGATAGTTAGCTATAAATAGATTACGAGGTCCTCTCTCTCACTCCACCATTTGAAAACTAACAGAAGTAGACTGGAGTTGGTGCCAACTGCAGACATAATTTTCATGAGCCAATGGCAGTGTTTTAGGTAGTTGAGCCAACTGCTCTCTGAGGCATTGATTCTTGCCAGACTCAGTTAGTCCTTTCAGAAAGATAGGCATATAGGAATATTTATGAATTATGAACTCTTCCTGGACCATCCAATTCTACTCTCAAATTCCTAGAAATTCTGCATGTCATTAGCTTTTCTGACAAGGCCAACTAGAGTAATGACTGCCTCCAAGACTTTCGTTTTCCAGTTCTTAACAGAAGTGATTTTCTAACACAGATTTGTCATCTCACTCCCTCGAAATTAACATCACTAATGGCTACTCAATAATTACCAAATTCATTAAGAATCTGTATGAGGCAATAACAGAATTGCCAGCCTCCTCTACAGGCACACAAACTATGATTCAATCTCAGATTCAAAAGCCACAGTAAACGCATTGTGGTATTTTTTGTGTTTGTGTTCAGAACTCTTCATTTGCGTTTCTCAAGCTAACTAATCACTACACATTATTTTTAGTATCTATTTAAAATGGTGACTTCTGTTAAAGCATTCTCTCGGAGTTAAACTCTGCATCCTTTGGACGTCTTTACTTTATTACTATCACAATTAAATTTAATAATTTCTTTGTATGCCTTTATTACCTACTAGACCAGGGGTTGGTTGAGAAACTTTGGACATTGGCACATGGGTGGCCTTCTGCTTTTGTAAATACAGTTTTATTGGAACACAGACACACTCATTTGTTTGCATATTGTCTGTTATGCAACAATGAGTAGTTGCCACAGAGACTCTTTGTTTCACAATTTTGAAATATTCACTATTTTTCCCTGTACAGAAAAAATTGCTGACCTCACACTAGACTGTAAATTCTTAAATAAGATAGACTGCCATATTAATCTTTGCATCACTACAAGCTTGAATACTACCTGATTCGAGAATTTTTTCTAAATAATTAAAATTCTAACAACTAAAAGTATTTTAATCAATATTTTTCCTTATTTCTTAATATTTTATGTCCTTTTTACCTCCAAAAGAGATAGCTCTCTGAAGAAAACAAATAATTTCAATAACTTTAATATATAGGTTGCTCTAAATACACTGTAAATATATAGTAAGAATTAATTTGATTAAGCTTTTAAATCTAAGCAACATTTTATTGGACATTAATTGGCAGATGGAAAATACCCTAAGGGATAATCAATGCACGAATGTATAATGGTCAAGATGTTGCAAGAGAAATTAGTTTGCCAATTTCAGAGACACTATAGGACATAAGAATTTAAAGAAAGTAGACAAATTAAAACAGAGGCATGGGTGATTTTTTTTATATTTTATCTTTTAAGTTTGATATTATTACAACGGGCTCTTAAAATTATTAATAATTCATTAATATGGACCTTGAAATATAGTGGTGAAAATGAGATTATATATTTCAAAGTGTACATATTAGCTTGGCATTCAGTAAATATTGTTGCTACCCTACAAGAAAGATAATCAAACTGAGGATAATCAAACCAGGCATGCATTTTTATCCTTGACCATGTTTCCCGGCATTTAGCATGAAGTTCCAGCCAGAGACCTAGGTATAAGAATTGCATTCTAGAAAGTTAGACTTCCAAGTAATTTCAATGTTTCTCCAAACTAGAATAAGTCATATGTTTAATTGTGATTCAAAGAAAATATTTCTAACCTTTTATTTATTTATTTATTTATTTCACATGCTGCTAGGAGAAGAGGAACTATCTTAATGTTTTCCTCCAGGTTTGTAGACAGTCTCTCTGACAGTGAATGTGATCTAAGGTTGTGTGGCTCAAACAGCCAATCTACTTCCCAAAGTGATTTCCCTGCTGGGTACACACAAATTATGCCCTTTGATTATAATCTTCAGCCCCCTTCTCTAAGGCTTGTCTCTGTTCATAACTCTTTTGGGCTCAGAGTCAGCTCTAAGTTTGTTTTTAAGCAGAGAGTACTCCATAAAGCTGCATGCAATGTTGATCTGCTGGCTGCTTTGATTTCACAGCTATCCAGCTAGGCCACATTGTTTGTGTCTGTGTACAGTAAAGCCTTAAAAGCATCTCTTTCCCTGTGACTGTCTGCAGTTACTTCTGCTGGCCGTACATCTATACATAGTAGTAGGAGAGCATTCTCTCTCTTATTTATTAATAAAGCTGCAATTAGAATTAATATTAGACTCCCACTCAGTTAAAATCCCATAAGAAAAGATGTTTAATGGAAAAATCATAATTGAATCCCACTTTAAGTTGAGAAATTAAAAATTCATTGCTAAACTCCTCAGAGTTGGTAATTGAAAAATACAACACACACAATTCCATTAAGAAAGACAGAAAAATAACAAGAGTGCCCACATCTGGGGCCTAATCCAAATCAGGTCAGTGAAAATCAGATGTATAAAAGAAAAAAAAACTGTATTTTTTTTTTTATCAGATCTTAGAACCATCTGCTTCTTGGTAAAACAACTCACGTTATTCCATCTCTGCACGTTCTATTCACAGACAGTGCTAATGGCTCATCATTATGAATGCACAAAATACTGTTATTTTAATTGTCTAGTGGATTTTTCCTTATTTATCTGCCCTGAAGTTTGGTCCTCTGTCTGTGACCCATAGTATAAAATAATAATACAAAATAAAGAAACTAGGATGAATTTTTTTTCCAATCAGCATATGTAGTAAAGTCAAAGGTCCACTCTGTCCACTGAATGTAGTGAAGCTGATGTACCATGCAGTTTTAATTCCATTAGCCATGATCCATGAGGCAAACTACAGCCAGAGGTCCACTGCCTCTTTTTATAAATAAGTTTTATTGGAACACAGCTACACCCATCATTTTACACATTATTTGTGGCTGTTTTCCTGCTAAAGTAGCAGTGCTGAATGGCTGAAATAGAGATTATAAGGCTAGAATGCCTGAAATATTTATGAAGTGACCCCTTAAGGAAAAGTTTGCCAAATGCTACTCCAGAATCTGAGAGAGTGGTACAAGTTAGATGTCCTATTATTGCTATTTACCAAGGGCATTGGAATATAAGTAGCCCAGCTACTCATTGGAGGGGCTATAAATTTACCACTGATATTAAAGGTTGTTTCTCATGATATTAGACTGACAGTTCTTTTGAGCTTCAGAACAGAGCAGTCAACTGCCATTAGTTATTGCAACTTGGATGTGCCGAGCCATCACATTCTCTTCCTTTTCTGGACATCAGTATTTGCCACTGTATTCAGTCCATATTGCTGCCAGACAAAGCTTTTGAAAAGACAAAATGGATGATCATGGAGGTCTTATAACTGCTTAAAATCCATGAACACTATCCCATATACATTAAAATAAAATCAAACTACTTAACATGGCTTAAAATGATATTCATGAGATAGATCAAATTTTGAATTCAGCTGACTACCTGAAATTCTTCTCCTGCTTCGGGGCCTTTAAGTAGGGTGCCCACTTCTTCAAACTTTGTCTGGCTGAAAGATCACTCCTTCAAATCACCAGCTCAGATATTGGTCTACCAAGAAAATGTATTTCATTTATCCCTACCCAGAATCTCAGTTAGGCATCTCACATACATGCCTCAGAAGCACCCTGTGTTTTATCCCTAGCATGGCAGTATGACTTTACAGTAGAATTGCTTATTTACTTTTCTAAATGACTTATTTAAAAGGGAAGTGTCTTGAGAACAAGGGCCTTATCTTATTTTGCATTTACATCTTCTAAGTGCTTAAAACAAAAAAAGTACTTTGTGAATATTGAATGAACAAAGAATGCTGAGTCAGCTTAGGTGTGGCCATAAGAGAATAGTGGAAAATAATACTCGAACAGATGTGTAGAATGAGAAAAAGATATTTGTGTTATGTATGTGTTAACCAGCAAACGCTTCGTTGCTTTCCCTCTTCTACAACCAGAATTTGAAATAGTTTACATAATTAATAAAAAAATTAAATAAAAAACAATGGCCAGCTAAATCAAAACTTCTAACTTTGTCATTATTATCAGCAATCAACAATTTAATCATGTAAGATATTGTTTTACCACAACACAATTTTGTGGAAGAAAAACTGGCAGCTCAACAGCCTCTTAAAAAGTTTGTGAACCGAAAAAACATTTTACCCTACCTGCAAATACTATCAATAGGGTTACTAGAGACTTCTATTTTTATAATTTTGAAGCTATAATTACAGTTTACAAATTTAAATTAGCTTCTTATCAACATTTTACAGATGAGAAGACACACATACAGAGGCAAATTAAACCATCTATTTCAAGGCCATAAGTTAAGTAATAAAATTGTAAATACATAAATTTCCATCCCCTTTCCAGGACTAATACTTTAAAAATAGGGTTTTCATTATCATTTTTTCTTTACAAAGTTTTCAATAGTAAGGTAAGACTTATTTGTATAATACACTAAAGAGTTGCCTGGGAATCCTTTCTTATTGCACAATACTCTGTAGAAATGTGTACATCATAGCAGCAAGTTCACAAAATTTTATTTTTTTGGTTTAAGTAGTCTTAAGTAGTCATATTTGTAACAGATTGGTAATAATAAAACTGGCTAACTCTTGCTGCCAACAGATTGCAACAAAAGACTGCTTCCAAAAATAGATTCCACTTTGCTGTTTGATCCCTATCTTTCACCAAATATGGTAAATTTTCTATTTTAGCCATTTAATATAATGCTTTCAGTTACTTTTCTAGCTTTTTCATAGAATTTCTAGTCCTAAAAATATAAGATTTTTTTAAACAATCTCATCTTTGAAAAATCAAGGTAACCATAGACAATTGTAGCAAAATGTATTATTTACTTAACAAGTAACAATCTGAAGTAGGTTTTCTTTAACTCTTATAAATCATGGAATTCCATACTTTGTAATCTGAGGCTTAAAAATTTGAGAATGGAAAGAAATTATTTTAATAGAAAAATAGACCACTATTTTTAGTATTTGGCCTTTTATCTCTAGCTACTTCTAGTTTAGGATAACAAGCGCATCCTTGTGTGGATGGAGATTCTCAAAGGATACGGCCAGGTGAGGTAGCTCATGCCTGTAATCCCAGCACTTTGAGAGGCTGAGGCAGAAGGATTGCTTGAGGCCAGGAGTTTGAGACAAGCCTGGGCAGGAAACAGAGACCCCCATCTCTATTATGAAAAAGTAGTAAAATAAAATTGGCTGGACATGGTGGCACTTGCCTGCAGTCTTGACTATTTGGGAGGCTGAGGTGGGAGGATCACTTGAACCCAAGAGTTCAAGGCTATAGTGAGCTGTGATCACACCATAGCACTCCATCCTGAGCAACAGAGCAAGACCCTGTCTCTAATAAAAAGAAACAAAGAAAAAAAGAAAGAAAAGGAAAGCCAGGTAAAAGGCATTTCTTGTAAATTCTGCTCAATGACTCTACATGTTTGTCTGTGGAGATGGTAAAAGAGCTACCCAGATTAACAAATGATAATGACACTTTCAACTTTACCATATTCACCAGCTAGTTGTTAGAAAGCCTAGGCTGAAAATAATAAAAAGGAAAGACAAAAAAATAATAATTATTTACTCTAGCAAGTTGTTTTCTAAGTAATCCATAGTTGAAAGACATCTGAGAATTTGTCAGTCAATGCTTCCTTTGAATGAATCTGTATGCCTTTACAGTATTTTTGCTTCTGATTGTGATGGGTAATAAAGTGAAACAGACTCCAATTCTGATCTTCATAACACTGACTTTAACAAAACTAAGGATGTAGAAAATTCTTTTTGCTGTCGCTCACAAAGAGAAATGCATGTGACAGTGCACAGCAAGAGATGCAACCTTGGAAAACACCAAGGGGCATAACAGTAAGACACCACAAAAGTAAAGAAGGAGAAATATTTCTGGGGAAAAAACAAAATAACCATATAGCATAAACAGAGGAAAAGGGAGCAAAGAACATGGCCAGAAACAATTGATATCGACAGTAATTGGGACAAAATTTCACCAAAAATATTAAGAAATGATGTTGCTACTAAATGTAAATATCAGATTGAGCAAATCATGTTAAGAAAAAAAATGTGGTCCTAACATAATATAACATCATAATGTAGAATAAAAATTTTTAAATATGG
Organism: Homo sapiens; assembly: GCF_000001405.40. Taxonomy (NCBI): domain Eukaryota; kingdom Metazoa; phylum Chordata; class Mammalia; order Primates; family Hominidae; genus Homo; species Homo sapiens. The sequence continues at coordinate 85,002,027 of NC_000003.12, read as the reverse complement.
GTTTACCTAACAAAAGCCTGTTAATCACAGAAGACACCCCCAGATTTTCTTGGCTAGAGTACCAGCAAAATATTTAACAGTTTTGATTCAATTAAGTTTCTCTGCAACTATTAATCACATATTTGAAGGCATTTAATTATTCGAAATCTGAGTGTCTTCGCTGAAGAAGGAGTGGGATTAAGAATACATGTTTATTTTTTTAATTTTACATAAAATAAATTATGTTTAAAGAGAAAATAGTTCAAAGGTCTCAGAGATATTAATGTTTTAAGGTACTTAATATTCATTTCCTGTATAAAACTATGAGTATCAACAACACTTCTTAGAAGGCGTTTCATATCTTTGATCCCATGGTATAATTAATCTTAACTCTTTTATCTTTAAAACGTTTCTATAAGATAAATAGTATTGTCTGTATAGATGGGAAAGAGACATTGAGATTAACAAATGACCATCTCTAGGTGAGCAAAAAATATCACTTGCCTTTCTGATCTTTGAACCTATTTTGTATTATTTTTTAAAAAAGATTTTGTTGAAAAAATAATTTCATGTATTTAAGTTATTGCAAACTGTTACAGTTATAACCATAGTATATACACACATTTATACATATGTACATGAACACAAGGGTAGATAGATAGACGGATGGATAGATGGATAGATAGAAAGATAATGGACAGATAAAATAGATCAATAAATTAAGTTAAACTAAAATATTAAAAATAGAATTATCAGGGTACAGAAAATACATATTTTTATATGAACTAAAAAATTTCAAAAATATGAATATCTCTAGAGAAAGTGAATAATTAAATAGAGAAAGGAGATGAGAGAGAAAGGGACAGAGAGGATGTCAAATGGCCAGTTACAAGACATAGAAATCTCAACAGATCATCGTGAAGAGATATTTTTTGATTCACTTCAATTTGTTAATTAAATTTTGAAACCCCAACAACTGAACAAGTTATCTAGGTTAATCTGATTGTGACAAAAAGAATATCCACAATGTTTCTCATTTTGTGTAACAGGTGGAAGGTAAAGAGAAATGCATTGATTATAACATGTAGCAAAATCATGGAGTTAATCCCTTGTAAAATGAAATTTCATCAGTGAAGCCATTTACTTTGTTTTCTTATTGATAATGTCACCAGAGTGGCTAATCATGAGTATCAAGTTATATTATATACCTATACAAATGTACATACATAGGCACATATATGTATTTGTGTCTGTATATACACATGCACACACATATACACATGCACACGAACACATACATACAAAAATGTATGTGTGTTTCAAAAAAGTATTTGAAAAAAGCAACTACATTAAAAAAAACAACAACCAAGAGTGAATTTGTTTCAGCAAACTGACATGCAGAATGTTGAACCAAGAGTTGCATTCAATCATGGGTTTAAAACTTTGAACATTGAGACTCTCCTATTCATCTTTTAGTTTTTTATTCAACAATTTGTATGAAGGCATATAAAACTAGTATTAAAAAGTCATCTTAAGATATTTTACTTAGAAAAGTATCAGCATATTAGCAACCTTGGAATAAGTAAAAGACTGTTTTTTTTTGTGAACAAAGTCAAGGACTTATGCTCTCTATAGCTTTAAAAGAATAGAAGCAGTGCTTTGGGAGGCCGAAGTGGGAGGATTGCTTGAGCCCAAGAGTTCAAGTCCAGCCTGAGCAACATAGCAAGGCCTCATCTCTACAAAAAATAAAAAGGCAAAAAAAAAATAATTAGCTGGGCGTGGTGATGCACACCTGTAGTCCCAACTACTCTAGAGTGTAAGGTAGGAGGATTGCTTAAGCCAACTAAGTCAAGGTTACAGTGAGCTATGATTGTACCACTACACTATACCCTGGGGCAGGGAGAGAGAGAGAGAGAGAGAGAGAGAGAGAGAGAAAGTAGAAGCAACCTATATGTTATATTAAAACAGCCAAAGTAGTAATATGCCTGTGAAATTTGTAAGGTCCCAATCACGGTAAATATCGTAAACATTAAAACCGAAATTTGATGTAAATTCTTCAGAAATATTTTATAGGAAATTTCTACATGCTATGGGAGTTTGGACTAGCTGGCCCCTAAGATCTCATCCAACTCTAAAATTATATAATTACTTTCCAGAATTCAGAGCCTCCATAGAGTGGTCTTATATACAAACACGTTTCAAAATCATTCTCTTTCAAAATATGTGGTAGAGTCATTCTTCATTATTCCCAGATTCTGTATTTGCAAATTTGCCTACTCAATAAAACTTTTTTGCAACCCTAAAGCCAATACTTGCAGTGCTTTCATGGTCATTTGCCGACATGTGCAGAGCACTAAAAAATTTGAGCTGCCTGATATGCACATTCTCAGCTGAGGTCAAACAAGGCAATGCTCTGCCTTCTTGTTTTAGATTTCATACTGTAAACAAGTGTCCTTTTTAAGGTCTATTTCATGCTACATTTTTCTCATTTTTTGTGCTCTATGCAGATGATTTTGCTGTTTAAAATAGCCTCCAAACAGAGTACATAAGTACCATCTATCTAGTGCTCCTAAGGGCAAGAAGGCTGTGATGAACCTCAGAGAGAAAATATCTGTGTTAGATAAACTGTGTTCAGGCAAGAGTTACACCTCTGTCGGCATGAGTTCAATGATAATGATTCAACGATATATATTAAATACGGTGTCTTTAAATAGAAACACACATACAAAAAGGTTATATATTGATTGGTTGACAAAAATATTATGACCAGAGTGGTTTACAGAATTCTAACCCTGTATTTTCCCAAGGAGGTTCAGTATTTGTTAACTCAGTGTTCCAGAGACTTTATAGAACATAACAAGAAATGACTATATTCCCTACATAAAGCTAACATTGCATACATAAACCTCTCCAAAAGTGTTGCAATTGGGAAGAAGAAAGGCTGTAGTTTAAAATTAGCTTCACAAAGAAATAGCTTGTGGCTTGGTATTCTTACTGTAATTTTTGTGGATCTGTGGTAATGCAATCGTTTTTAGGGAAAGTTATCTAGCTTTTTGATGAAAAATCTTTCCCCTTTCCAGATACACCTAACTTTCTAAATATTTTCCTTATTCCCACAGTATTAGATCAAATAGGTATGGGAGTATCTGAAGAAAATAATGTAACAAATAAAATATTTTTTTGCATCCATTTCTGTTTAATGAAAGCTATTATAACTCACAGTTAACCAGGTGGTTATTTATTGGTGCCAAATTGAGATTAGCAAATCTGAGCCTCTGGCTACCTGCCCCTGATCACAGAAGAAAACACGCATTGCTCTGTGTCCATTCCTGGAAACGTCCAAGCTAACCTTTTTATAAGGCTCTTACCAAGCCTGAGAAATCCAGAGTTCCAGAACAATTGTTAGCAAGCGTTGCAAGTCTCAAAATTTACCAAAATGTTTACAGAGCTGCATGCTGGTCAAATCTACTCTTGCTCAATTATAAACAACATTAAAAAAATAAAATTTCACTCTTTGCATTTTGATCAGTAATTGCATAGTTTCTGAAGTTTGTTCCTTAGTACCTGTCCCTTATTGTTAAATGTTTTCTTTCAGTTCTGTACTTCAGGCATTAAAAGGGGTACTTCAGGCATTAAAAGGGGAACATCAGGACCTTAAAATTGGATGGGAATTACTTGCTCCGGAGAACATATTTGCTATATTAAAACTGGCAGGAAAACCTTTTGTGAATTTAAACTAGTGGTTTAAAATATGAATGCAAAATTATCTCTATGTTTATAAAGCCATTCTAATCTAAAGATAACCTCTGGAAGATCATGCACTGAGACCAGGTATCACACATAATTTTGATTTGATTATCTGAGCCTCATTATAAAAATAGCTTACTATAGTTCAAGTAGATGTCAAATGAACCCTCGTGGGAAACAACAGATAAGGAAGGCTCTGTTAGATTTTATGTTTGTTGTAAAATCTATGTCTTGCCTTTTCATACAATAAACACATTAAGAAGATACATCTTACTTGCAAAACACAGAACCCAACACAATCCAGTAAAATGGCTGCTTGCAATTTTACTTGGGGAAAAACTAACTCCTACAGTCAAATAACTTGAGGTTCATAAGGAAGACAATCAAGGAAATGATTTTTAGAATAGTTTTCCCTCAACAGCAATAGCTTTCTTATATTGATAGTGCCACTATCTTTAGCAACTGCTTGGATACTTGGATTATTATCAAATAAAAATGAACCATAATCACCCAATTCATTCTTATCTTGGATAACCATGTGGGTTTTTGTTTTATTTCAATATTTCCATTTGGAAAATTTGTGGAGTTTTTTTGATATTCATATATAAAACAAACATGGTAGTATTTAAAATCACAACTACTTACACAAATTAATACTTTCTAGATATTCTGAAATAAATAACATATAAAATAAATATAAAATCAAAACAAAATATGGAAGAGAAAAACTCAGTTATTTCAGATAATTTTTATGTATCTTCCTATTTTCATAAGAAATAGCCAACATTTTTCTCAAAATTCACAAAAAAATCAGAAAAATAAACTTATATTTTCTATGTTGTTAAATACCCTGGCTTTCAAATAAATTTCAAAAGGAAACATAATTCTTTCTATGAATAATTCAAGTAATACATAAACTAGTGGAAAAATCGGTCCAAAAGTTAAGATATTTGTTAATTCACATAATTAGAGAGGTTTATGTTCTCTGTCATCTAAAAATGCATCATGTGAATCTTGTGATGACAATGAGAGTGATACCCTTTAACAAAGCAAAAGATTCCAAGCATAAGTAAATAGGTTTTAACTAAGTACAAGATGTGGAAATCCATTCCAGAAGGCAGTAAAATAATTTTATTGGACAAATCAGAGGAAATAACTCGCACAGTGTATCTTCTAAACACTATTGAGACAGAGAGAATTTTTAAGTGCTATTTCTTTAGTTTGATTCCAGGACACAGTTCTGCTACATGGTTCCCATACAAATCATGCTGTGACCCAGATAATGCTTATGACAACTCTTCTTGTTGTCTATAGAAGATGCAGGGGTTGACAAGCAGTTAATAATTTTTTCAGTGTCTTTCAATAAGAGTAGCATTTACACATTTTCTTGAAATTAATTGTTCCCCTCTATATTCTTTCATTCTCAATTAATTCAACTTATTTGTAAGGAATCCCTGAACACCATAGAATTATTCAAAATTACTGAGAGAAACTGATCCAGAGGACATTGCTAGAGTATTTTTAATGATCCTGATTTTGTAAATTATCTAATTAACTTAGAAGAAAATGATATTAGACAAATAGACTATATTCTAAAGTTACCAGACAAAAGGGCACAGACAATATGGGCAATGTGCCTTTTATTAAAAATACAAAGCTTATAAAGACATGGATAAATTACACAAAGCATGATTTTAATTAATAAGGGTAATTTCATAATATTTTTTATCATTAAATCCATTGAATGAGTAACCTAATTTTTAAAAGCATACGAAAAGTAAAGCAATGTAAATAACTACATAAAGCTGTCAGAATTTAGTTTTCCCTTTTTATAGCTAGTCTAATTAAGACAAGTCCAGACAGTTGATAATAGAGTATACACCATAATAAAATTCCTTTTATACAAGTAAATTAATTATTAGGTGAATGAAGCATAGATTATGAGAAATAAGTACACTAATTTTATGAAACATATTATTGTTTCTTCATAACCATAATTTAAACATAGAGGCAATTTAACTTAATATTAATAACTTGCCATTTGCTACTATTTTAATGAAAACAAGTTCCATACTCAATTTATATTTTGAGTATAAAGCTGCTTCCCTTTTAAAAAACATTTTCAATACTTTAAAAAATTTAAATAAAGTTGGTGTAGTCCACAATTCATCTGAAACCCTGGACTCATGAACTAAACAATCCCAGCAGCAAACAGGGTTGGGAGAGTAAAATTGCCAGATTTTGCTTGAAAGATCTTGTACATTTGTCTGTCCAAATTTCTCATAATTAACTGAGAAAATAAGTTATAGTCTCTCCTGTCACTGAAGTTTTATCAGTTTGCTGGATTCCCCATTTGTGAACCAATAGGCATGGAAAACTCATCACTTAGTACAAGGACAAATACAAAAATATCAGAAATCCCATCAGGCATTTCAGCCATCTTTGACCAACCACTACAGAAGAAGTAAATTTCAACAACAAGCTAAAAAGCCAGTTGTGGAAACAACAAGCTAAAAAGCCAGTTGTGGAAACAATAAGCTAGAGGAATGATCAAATACTGTTAGCAATCATGGAAATAAATAGAATAATATTAATCTCTTTTGTAGGCAAGTAATCTCTTTTGTAGGCAAGTACTTAGTAATCTCTTTTGTAGGCAAGTACTTAGGCACTACATATAATCTCCAGAAATTGTCTGAAGTATGTATTATTCTCTCCTCTTTTAGATGAAAAAGCTGAGTCTTGGAAATACTAAGCAACTTCTCTAAATTTACACATCGCTAGGATTCCAACCCAACTGTTATCAAATCCAAATTAAAGCTTCTTTCCGTTATAGTGTGGTTGCGAAATGAGTTATGCAAATCTTCATTAGGGAAAATTCTCTCTTAATGCACACATTTTAAAATTGTATTAATCCCAGAAATTATTAAATTTGGCAAGAATAACATAAGCTCAATATTGGTGGACTGAGTTAGTTGCAAACGAGGTTTGCTTTCCATTTCTGCTTTATCAGGTTAACAAATGTACCTGCCATCCTCCATTAGAATCAGTTTTGAATTATATTAGCATGAAATTATGGCAGGTCCGCTATAACATAACACTGTTTTGGAATGTGACTAACCCTTATACCATGCTGCCTCAAATGTTTTAGCAAAAATTAGTTTTTGGGAGTTATTTGCACTCTTCATTTAGAAAGATTTTATAAAAATAATGAGGAAATAAATGTTTGAATGGATGAACACTTACATATTCTTTTATTTATTTATTTATTTTTTGAGACAGAGTCTCACACTGTCGCCCAGGCTGGAGTGCAACGGTTCAATTTCGGCTGACTGAAACCTCCGCTGCCTTCCGGGTTCACATGATTCTCCTGCCTCAGCCTCCCAAGTAGCTGGGTTACAGGTGCACACCACCACGCCCGGCTTATTTTTTGTATTTTTAGTAGAGACACGGTTTCACTGTGTTTGCCAGGCTGCTCTCGAACTCCTGACATCGTGATCTGGCCACCTGGGCCTCCTAAAGTGCTGGGATTATAGGCATGAGGCACCACGCCCAGCCGAACACTTGTATATTCTAAAATTGTTTAAAAATTTTATGTATATCCAAAAATATAATAAACTTTTTAAAGCAGTTTATTAAGTCATACTCTACACATTTTCTTGTTATAGTAATGTTAAGGTAAGAAAACAGGAAATGACAGTAATGTAAATTATGACTCAACTAAGCCAAAAAAGCAATAAAGAAGACAAAGAAACACTCTAAATTTTGTGTCTATAATTTTGAGGAAATTTTACCTACCTTCCTACTTACCTAAGGACACAGAAATAGTGACTGAAATTAAGCTAAGTGTGTATCTTAATGATCACATATAAATCATGCTGTCTGTATGATTTGCAAATATTGAGGTTTGCTATAAATATAGCCTAAGTGTATTTATTCAAAATATCAGTAAAAACCATAGCTAATTAAACTACTCTTATCGTAACACATACAATATTGACACTTGAAGTAAAAGGGAACTTCAAAAATTGGTGAAAATATATTTATTAGGATGTATTTATAACGATCTTGGCAGGCACTCTTCAAACTTAGAGAGTCAGAAGTGGAAAAGCGATGCCTGTGCCAAATTCCTTCAAAAATGTTACACACTCTAATATAGTGTACATGACAAGCCTGAAGTATTGAAAAGAAGCCATTTGAATTATCTGAGCACAAAAAAAAGGCATCTGGAAATTACCTAACAACTGAAACATCCTATTCACATTTTCTGGAATCTCATAATGCTGAAAGGATGTTCGGCAGGTCCTGAGCTTACACTAATTTGCAAGCTTTTGAACAAGTATAACAATTTCAAAAAATAGGTACTATTTTGGGGGTGTATCACTAATGAAATAGAATTTTAACAGAAGAAAAAGAATTTTAACCTTAATTTTGTTACTGTTGTGTTTCAATTCCTATTACAACATTAGTATTTATTGTCACGCTGAGATCCATTTAGAGACAATAGTAGGAAAAAAGGTCATAGTGCATTCTCTGTTCTGCACCCTAAGGCTACTGAGCATGGAATGAGCGAAACAAAGCATGCTAACTCCTTTTAGAACATGTCTATGAAGAAATACAACAGTTCATATCAGTCAGTGTGTTTCTGCTAATGGCTTTCAAATTTTAACTCTAGGAAGCTATAGTCAGGGTGTTTTCCGTGGAAAAAACAAACCCTTTTGACTTTCTGCTAATCCTTTCCTGATGGTGCACCACTTACCACCAGAGTGTTGCTCAAGATTTACTCTTTAAAGTTGACGATTACAGGGTCAACTAGGACCAGAAGTAACTTGATTTTAACTGTTACTACCACTTCCTCTCCCACAGTATGTACTATCTCTTTTCCCTCAGTGTTCCTTTTTCCTTGTCAAGAAACTACTCCATATGGTAACAGAGAGAGTATTGCTTTAGTCATTAAGGTAGTTTCACTAGCAATGGGCATCAAAATATTCCAGTTAATACGCTAAATCCCTTTTGTCACTGTAATGGGCTATAGTAGCTATGCACACTCCTATCCTCCTTTTGCTAACACACTTCTTTTCGTTTTAGGAATTGCCTCCTTAACTCTCTGGGTTCCCACTTGGGCCCGATAAACAAGCCCACCCCCAAGAATAGTGGTAAAATATTAAATCAGCCTGGGTAATGAAAGGACTCCTTAGTTCTATGTTCTAGTACATATTTTTTTTTCTTAAAATAGTTTGTTTTAGGTATCTGCCACTTGTAAGTGAGTAGTAAGAGAATTAAAATTATTGGAGTCACTGAGATTATTAAACCATACATCCTGGGTTGACAACCTTCAACATCCAATCTAAACATGGGAATCAACTTAAATTACAGGGACATGAAATCTACTACTTGAAAAGGCTGCTCGTCTCTACCTCCATCTCTTGCACAAATTCTCATATTCTCCCTGTTATCATGACGTAGCAAGTTTTGGGTTTTGTTTTGTTGTTTTGTTTGTCACTTTTGAGATATTAGTGGAAACTGTATTGAATTGCAGGTCTGATAATAAAGATGCTCTTACTAGTTAGTAGCACTCTTTATAATACGATTTGAGGTACTAAGAGTCCCAATTATTAGCTCAATCCCAGGTACCAAAAAAACTAGTTATTTGTTTATTAATTTTTGTGTTGTTGTTGAGAAGGAGTCTCACTCTGTCACCAGGCTGGAGTGCAGTGGTGCGATCTCGGCTCACTGCAACCTCCGCCTCCTGGGTTCAAGTGATTCTACTGCCTCAGCCTCCTGAGTAGCTGGGACTACAGTTGTGCACCACCATGCCCAGATAATTTTTGTATTTTTAGTAGAGACAGCGTTTCACCACATTGGCCAGGATGGTCACGATCTCTTGACCTCGTGATCCGCCCGCCTCGGCTTGCCAAAGTACTAGCATTGTTATTTTAACTAAAGATCCCCTTTCTGAATGTTAAATAGCATTTTCCAAAGGCTTTATTTTTAATGTAAATTCAATAAGTAAGGGTAAAATCAAGGCTTTTAAAATAAACTTTGTTTTTGGAGTAGTTTTAAACTTACAGCAATATTGAGCTGAAGGTACAGAGATTTCCTATTTACCCCTTACCTCAACACAAAGGTAGCCTCCTCATTATCATCCTCCACCAGAGTCCATAGTTTACATTAGGTTTCACTCTTGGTGTTGTACTTGCTATGAGTCTGGACAAATGTATAATGGCAAATAGCCATCATTATAGTATCATACAAAGTAGTATCACTGCCCTAAAATTCTTCTGTGCTCTACTTATTCATCCTTCTCTCTTCCCTAACACCTAGTAACCAGGGAACTTTTTACTGTCTCCATGGTTTTACCTTTTCCAGAATATCATATAGTTGGACTCAAGCAATGTGTAGCCTTTTCAGATTGGCTTCTTTTACTTAATAGAATGCATTTAAGTTCCTTCCATATCTCCTCATGGCTTGAGAGCTCATTTGTTTCTTAGTAGTGAATAATGTGCCATTGTTTGAATGAACCACAGTTTATCCCCTCACCCACTAAAAGACATTTTGATTACTTCCAAGTTTTAACAATTATGAGTAAAACTGCTATAAACATCCATGTGCACGTTTCTTTGTGGACATGTTTTCAGCTCCTTTGGGAAAACATCAAGGAACTTCATTGCTGGATTGTGTCATAAGAGTGTGTTTTGTAAGAAACTGGCTATGCCATTTTACATTCCAACAGCATTTGGTGTTGTCAGTGTTCTGGATTTTGGCCATTCTAACATGTGTGTAGAAGACTATTAGTTTTTTTCCTAGGATTTGTTATTGATTTTGTTTATCAATTTGCTTTATGATATAGTAGAGAGCATAATAGCTTTACAGAGACAGAATGGCCATCCAGAAAGCTAACAAACACTACAAATTCACTTTGTTGTTTCACAATTTTGCCCCCAGCTCATTTTCAGGACAAGCCTACTGTATAAATGGTGCAATCTAGGAGGTGCTTTGAACCTAGAATATGGATCACATTCCAGAATTTTCCCTCGGGAAAATTCCAATGAATTTTCCAGTACAATTCAGAGTCCCCTAGGTTTATAACTTTTTAAATACAAAAACTCCTAAAGGATCTGTATCAAGATCTGAAATACTGGAAAGATCCTTGCAGGCCATGAGAAGAGTACAGATGCATAAGTACAAAAGAGCTTAGAAATAAAGTACACAAACCTGGTATCCTGGAAATTATCTTGGAGCAGTTGATTTGGCTCATTCAATGAGTAAAAGTCAGTAAAATGGAGTTGTGATAGGGTTCTTTTGGCATTTACTGAAATGGAACTTTAATGAGACTTGTAACCCATTATACAGGTCTATAAATTATTTTACCTTATTTCTCAAATAAAACAAGAAAAAAATTGTGAAATACCTAATCAATATGATGTTAGATGCTTTTCATATTTGTGATTTGTCATCTTAGAAAATAGGAATAAGAATTAATAAGCTTATGTGAATTAATGAGTGAATTATTTCCACATTTGATTTTTCTCTTTGAACAGTGATACTGGTTGGAAACTATTTAAGGAATGTTAGACTATGCCCAGTTATCAATCACTTTGATTCCTGTAAAGGGATACCACCTCCTGGATACAACCTCCTACTCGTTTTCATTGAATACATACTTAAAAATTATAAAAATGTATTTTAATTTAGTACTGTAAAAGTAACTTTAATAAATAAACCAAGCAACCATAATTTCTATATCACTGAAGGGCAAAAGGAAACCATAATTTTCAGATAATACTATAGGACTAAATAAATTAAAATTATAAATTTATTTTTTAATGCAGGAAAGAAACCTTTAAACTACTTCAAAATTAATATTTTATACAACTATATTGAAATATAATAAAATCTAGTGATATCCCAGTTATTGTAGCCTCTTTAGAATTCAACAAAACAGTGCTTTAAAGCAAAATTATATAAAAATATATTGGATCAAGCACTCAAATTAAAAAAATATATAAATCATTCCAGTTAATGTTTTGTTGAATTACTTAAAATACTAAGAAACTCTGATATGGTTCTTAGAGGTACCTATAATATATTGTAAATACGCTTAGTCTTTAAGGATAATTATACAGGCACTCATTTACATGAAATCTTCCTGTTAATGGATAGAATTATATTCTTGAAATCCATACCCTTTCATGTTTTATTAAATATAATGGGATCATTAAATATTAAATGCCTCTTTAGTAGAATATTGTCAGTATATACAACATTTCATGAATTAAGTTCCACACTTAAATATTCATCACTTGTCTTATTAAGAATCTGTAACCATATTTAATTTTCTTCAAAGTTATAAGTTTCTTTCATTTTTAAATAACTTTTTTCTTTTACTGCAGTTTTATTTTATATTTTTGCTTTAAAAACCTGTAGGTGGAAGAATGATATGGGTTGGAAAAGAAAATAATCACAATACTTAATATTTATGGAGTCCTTATCATGTGACAAGCAAGGTGCTAAGTTAAAAAAATTATTTCAGTTAATTCTCACTCTAACACTTTGAGGTTGATAGTTCTATTAAATCCAAATTTACAATTGAAGAACTTAAGATGTATACACAAAATCTCATGCAATTTAGTGAGAAGCAGCTCAGGTTATTAAGAGTTTTAATTCTGACTAAAATTTGGAAACATACAACTAAAAAGGTCATAGTTTTTATACTATGCATTAGCTAAGCAAGCACTTGTTTATAAATACATGAACATAAATACTACAGAAAAACACAAGCAGAAAAATAAATATTCTCCTGAAATTATCTAACCATTAACAAGAGAGAGAGTTTGCTCATTATAAATGAACAAAAAACAGCTACTAAACTGTTTACAGAATATATTAATTTTGATTGCTATTGTTAAAGACTTATCTATTTAAATAACTACATATTGTTAAATGTTAACCTGATAAATCTGGTGGGAAACTTATGCAGGTTTAAGGTCAACTATAATGAAACCTGTTCCAAAGGGCAGGAAGGGAAGCAAAATCTAGGTTAAAAGCTCTGTGAATTTTTGTTGTGAATTATTAAGTATAAATGATTTTAAGAAATCTTCTGCCATTTCACACAAAGATAACTAAAGTTTAAAGCTCCAAAATACTTCAGATGTGGTGCAATCACCCACTTCTTTTTCATATAAGCAAACTCTCAGCAAAACAGGTAATTGGTCTCCAAATTTGCAGGAAGCAAAGGCAGAAATGGAATTCCAGATCAGCCATGAATGGCACCTTAACTGGATACTGTTCTGTCTTTACTTTGCCTCTTGTTCCCATCTATTCCCCAAAACCTAGAATTAGATCTAGAACACAGCAGATGTTCAAAAAACATTTTCTAAATTAATAATTTTTTAAATAAAAAATGTTAGTGGTACAACAGTTTAGGCAGAGTAAAAGGAGAGATTAGCTGTATCTTTTATTTAAGTAAATAAACAGTTTATAGGTAATACATGATTTTGAGATTGCATTTACGGAAATATGGGAAAAGGCTGCTAAGTTGAAGATAGGATGAAAAAATGTTTAAAGCATACTAACATGCTGAATAATAGGAACCAGATGATCAAACTAATTCAATTAAACATAAGTTTTACTAAAAACAATGAGTCAATAAATAGGATGAAAGATAAAAGAAAAAAAAGGAGGTGGCCAATGAGGGTTTCAAAGCCGAGGAACCCAAGACAAGCTGTATAATGATATTGTGTGATCCTAAGAATTTACTCAAAGTGAAAGGAGAGCTAAAGTTATTGAGAGTTGAATTTACTGATGACAACAGATTTTTTGCTATCTGCTAGGTTTCATGGATGGAACAATGAATACAACAGCTAAAAAACCTGGAACTCAATGAGACTATAAACACAGAAGCATTTCCTAAGTAGAAAGTTACATAAAATAGCACAAATTAGCACTGGCTAGAACTTGGCCTAAGGCCAAAGTCACAGAAGATACTGCAAAGGAAAAGGAAATAGAAGTAGGAAAAATGTGCACCTTGGAAGCTAGTGCCAAAGAAAAAGGATACTAAGATCTGGTATCTAACAAAAATGTTCATCAGGAGAAGCAAATGCCTCTCTCTCTCCCTCTCTCTTTGTTTCCCAGACACTCCAAAACAGGCAGGGTGAACATGAAAAAGCAGCATCCAATCTGGCTCTGGCTGAATGGTGGTCAAAAAGTGGATGGGGAGTGAGAGTGCTACTAAAGCAAGTCAAGTGTTCCCATTTTGTTTTGTTTTGTTTTCTCCATGTCTGTGGCCACAGCTCCAAATCGGGACCTTCCCTAGGGGTAATTCTCATCCTTCCACCCCCTATACGAGGGCTGTGTTCAGTAAGTTTATGACAGCATACACACCCCTGCAGGGGGAGAACTGGGCTCATTTATCCTTATCAGTTCCACCAATTAGGAAAACAGATGCATCCCAGAACAGTTGTGGTACATTAGTAGATGGCAAGGTACTGCATGGTCTGAAAAGTCGGGGAGACAGCTGGGCTAGGCATAAACAAATATGAGTTGCTGACTGCTTTGGAAGTTCTATATACACCATAGTTTTTAATAAACACACATCAATAATCACAGTTATTACTACTGTGGTTGCATAATCAACAAAATCGGGCCAGATTAGCTAGTTTTAATTCAGTTCACTCCACTGACTGAAGGCCTATCAAATTTGAATAGATTATGTAGCAGCAGAATAGGAGTAAAATGAAAAACTAGCTTCTAGAAGATCTATGATCTGGTGGGCAAGACATTCATATTACTAACAGGAAGAGGACTATGTTCAAGTATACTCAGAGCCCTATAGAAAAGGAATTCAGGATGTCAGAGATAAATTTTTGGAAGAGAATTGGAGCTGAACTTTAGTTCTTCACAAGCAGTAAGAAAAATCCTTTATACTAAGCAATTTGCCTTGCATTGCACAACAAAACAAAGACTAGTCATTGAAAATGGCATTTGGCTGGAAGAGTTCCTTGTGTAGTCTCTCCCAATTTCTTGGAAAATGCTAACAGAAGACACCACCTAAAAGAGGGCATCTGCGGGAGATGGAACTTTCAGTGAGCCGAGATCGCGCCACTGCACTCCAGCCTGGGCCAGGCTACACATACACATACTCATAGCCACAACCTGGGAGGATTTCTCTGCTCCCTAACACATTCCATTGAACTGGACTGCAAATGCAGTTAGTGTCCAAACTCTTTTTTGTTTTGTTTTGTTTTGTTTTTGAGACGGAGTTTCGCTCTTGTTGCCCAGGCTGGAGTGCAATGATGCGATCTCGGCTCACCGCACCCTCCGCCTCCCGGGTTCAAGTGATTCTCCTGCCTCAGCCTCTCGAGTAGCTGGGATTACAGGTATGCGCCACCACACCCAGCTAATTTTTGTATTTTTAGTAGAGACGGGGTTTCTCCATGTTGGTCAGGGTGGTCTTGAACTCCCAACCTCAGGTGATCCACCCGCCTCAAGCTCCCAAAGTCAAACTAACTTCTTAAAGTGAGTATGCTTCTTTTTTTTTTATTTTATTATTATTATACTTTAAGTTTTAGGGTACATGTGCACAATGTGCAGGTTAGTTACATATGTATACATGTGCCATGCTGGTGTGCTGCACCCGTTAACTCGTCATTTAGCATTAGGTATATCTCCTAATGCTATCCCTCCCCGCTCCCCCCACCCCACAACAGTCCCCAGAGTGTGATGTTCCCCTTCCTGTGTCCATGTGTTCTGGGTAGGAAGTTTTTTATCCTTCTCCCAATGTCTGCTCTCTAATTTAAAAATTCAAGGTCCATTTTTAACAATTAGAAGAAAGCTACTACTCCTTAGATGTACTCATTGCCATGCCTTCTTTCTATATTCATTTGAGAATTGCATTCCCCATAATAGTAGTGGGAGATGGAGTGAGGCAATTGCTCTGCATTCAGGAAGACATGACCCCCATATATTAAATTCTGTGGGCAGGTACACAAAAGTGTCAATCGCTAAATTAATCGCAAGAGGACAACTAAAGAATTCTAAGTATTCAGCAAGTCGAGTCACAAATGCCTGAACAAATTTAATGTCTTGCAGAAAAACATTAATATCAAGTAAAAAAGTTAAAACCCAGTTCACTTAAACTGCAGTAACTATTGTTGCTTGATAAGTTATTTATTAGCTTTCATTTCAATCTGGTGTTTTCCTAATTCTCTATGTTAAATGTCTTGATGACTTTTTATTTAGTGTTGCCTTTTCTGAAATTGGGTAATGGTAGTTGTCTGATGAAGTTCATTGAGAGGCTTTCAGAAACGCTTACTCAGCAGCAACTGGCTATGCCAAAGGAGAGTTGTATCCCACTAATGGGGTCAGCTAAGCCATGGGCCACTTTAAAAATATGAAATCATAGTCTGAATTTAAAGTGGTCAATATGAGCAAGATTTTTTCTTTGGTTAGATTAGAATCTTTTAATTGCATTGAAGGTACTTCACTTACTGATGCATTAACTGAAGTACATTCAGTTTAGACCCACTAGCAATTATCAGGTCAGCAATTCTACTAAGATAACTGCTTTTATTAAGGAGCAAAAAATATTACAGAAAAGCTTGCTTTTAGTGACATTGAGGATAATTTCGTGTACATCTGGAATAGTGAAGTATATATTGAAATAATTTTAAATGGGGTATGTGTAATCATTTAGCATCAAAGACGCAAACATCAATGAATGCACGTTTCTTGTTCTCTCTTCATTATTATTAATAAGCCATGATTAAATATTAATCTCCAGAGTGATTCAAATCTCTCTGAAAAAGTACAAACCAAAATTTTGTATATTACCTCATTAGCTTAACCTAATAAAAGCTATATTTTAAAAATCCTTGTGATATTACCTGAATATTAATATAACTAAAAGTTATATTTGTTAAAACTTTGTAATATTACTTAGGTTTAATGAACCATATTTTGATTGATAATTCATAAGTCTGATTAAGAATTAAAATATCTGCTGACCAGAGTGCCCACATATCTTTGAATACTAACTTCAAATGCTGAATTAATATAATATAGTTCATAAGGTTACAAAGGAATATTATTGGCAATATATTAAAATATAGAACTACATGCATATAAATAGCCCTGTAAAAATTCACAACTTGGGCTTCAGTTAAATACCAGAGTTATATAATCACATGAAAACTAATTATATTTAGGACAATAACTCTTCAGCCCAAAACATAAACCCACGTACCAAAAATTAATTTGAATCTCTTTCCTTTGGTTTCATCTTGTTTTCTTCTACTGCTGTCTATAGAGAACTGGATTAACAATCTTATTACCTATTAAAGTTCACTATTAGAAACACCGTCTCATAAAGCTCTGGGTACCAAATATGGCTTGTTTTCAAGGTTACTTGGAATTACACTTGAAATCATTAGTACACTCATTTACCCATTAATGTTTGGCATGTGTAAAGGCTTAAAGTGATATTAAGATGTGTGTGCTTTTGAAAATGCTACAAATTGAATGGAAATAGAACCCTTAGAGAATGGGTGGAGTAGCTAGCAGTAAGTGGCCAGCTTGGGGTTTCAGAATGAGAATGTCTTCTGTGTCAAACTAAATAGTTTGTTCTTTAATTAGTATTGAAAAGAGTGGTCCTGTAGAGAGCTTTTCATAGAAGGGAAAAGTAACCTGACCTTTTTTTTTTTTCTTTTTTTAAGGAATATAAAGCTGGAGACTGTGGAGGGTGAGAGGCAGTGGGGACTAGCTGTTGAAAGAGAGAATGTAGCAGTAGTAAAGATGAAAGACTGCAAGGATTCAAACAAGGTTATGGCAATAGAGGTGAAAAGAAAAGGCCATATAAAGATTATGAGTTAAGTTAACATGGGAGGTAAGGGAGATGGAGGGGTTAAGGACAGCCTCAAGTGTTTTTTTTTTTTTTTTTTTTTTTTTTTTTAGCTTAATCTTGAGGTGGCTATGAGGGCATTAACTGAACTAGGGAATTGCAAAGATGCAGAAGGCCTGGAGAGAGGCAGCTGACTGGAAAAGCTAATGAGTTCAGTCTTTGGACATGTTACACTTTTGTGTGCCTACACATCTTATGGTGAAGAAATATGGGAGGCAGTTCAAAATAAGGAGATGCAACATGGGAAACAGCTCAGGCGTAGATATCTAGATTTAGTTTATTAATTAGCACTAACTCTCTTGCTCTTGTTTGTGCCTTTTAAAATAAGTGTGTGTGTGTGTGTGTGTGTGTGTGTGTGTATATATATATATATATCACAATGAAGAAGCCATTTGTGAAAATAGAAAGTCTGAAAGTGATTTAAAATACTGGGCATCTTTATTATAAAACAATTTCTTGAAGTTGATAATGTCCACCTATGTATATCACACTTGCTGAATGTTTTGATATTCAGATAACATATTTTCCAGTTCATCATCATGCAGCTAAATATATTATTTAAAGCCCCACTTGTGTTGTGTATTGAAATTCCAAGAATGAAAAATAAAAATCGTAATGCAATGCAAAAGCTGATGTTTGACAGAAAATTCTTCTGGCTGCCATGTCTGAGTTGACAAGTTAAAAGGGAAAATAATATGGATTAAATGCCTTTACATCCTAGCAGGTGTCTAGTCATCAATAATATTCACTGAAGGCCATTGTGTATAGAGCACTTCTCTTCGTTTCCTAATTCCCCGCTTGGCTCCAGGCAGAAATAAAGGGAGGTAGACAATGATTTCTGACACCTCTAAGAACTTTGAACAGAAAAAAGCTTTCCCTGCAATATGCAGGTATTATTTCATCAGCACTCTCTTAAAAGGTATCTGTGGTATTTATAATAAAATTTATTTTATTAAAAATTGGCTTTGGAATTCTAGGCATAATAGTCAAATTCCAAACTACTACACGGGAATAATAAAATCTGTATTTTCAATGAAAAAAAAAAACAGATATAGACAAGAAATCTCCAGGAGAAGAAAACAAACTGATTTTATTGGGATTTATTTTTAGCATAACACTTACAGATTAAAAGATGTGATGTCCAAAATATTTCATGCAAAAATAAGAAACAGATGAAAAAAACTTTATATCTATTTTAAATGGTCTTTTAGTGAGAGTACAAAAATGATACATTGCAAAATGAAATATCCAGCCTTTAATATTCAAATAGGATATATGAAAATATAAATACACCATTTTAAATGGGGTTCCATAAATAGCCTGTTTAACTAAAGTTACAACATTTAAAAATATATATTCTTGGCCGGGCGCAGTGGCTCAGGCCTGTAATCCCAGGACTTTGGGAGGCTGAAGCGGGCAGATCACGTGGTCAGGAGATTGAGACCATCATGGCTAACATGGTGAAACCCCATCTCTACTAAAAATACAAAAAAAATTAGCTGGGCATGGTGGCGGACGCCTGTAGTCCCAGCTACATGGGAGGCTGGTGCAGGAGAATCGCTTGAACCAGGGACGGGGAGGTTGCAGTGAGCTGAGATCACATCACTGCACTCCAGCCTGGGCAATAGAGCAAGACTAAGTCTCAAAAAAAAAATTAAAAAAACAAAAAATGTATATATATATATATATATATATATATATATATGCTTTATAGTTTTCAATCTATATGTCAATACAATATATTGCCATTTCATATTTTAGTACTTGATATACTTTTCATGCTAAATAATCTATTTTATTTTTAGGAAAGTAATTTTGTATTGTCTGTTATTGGTTTCATATCTCTAGACTAGTATTGTTTTTAAAATTCCAGCTCAAATTGTAAAGAAAATTGTGTATGAATATTAACAATAAAAACCTAAACGTGTAATTAGTGTACCTTCTTTGTAGAAATACTGATCTTAGGTTTTTAGACTTATATCCAGATATTTAGTTTATGTTGATATAGACTATCTGCATAAATCATCATAAAAATTGTTTTACCTGTTTAAAATACTACTTTTAATTTATAGGCTTATATTTATTTTGAAATACTAAAATTTGGAGTCCATTTTATGTCTACATCTAGAAACACAAATGAATATTTCATTTACAAAAAACACTTGACTATATACATATTCTATCACCTTGAAAAGATGAACCGTAAAAAGAATTATTTTCTCACTGAGAAAGTGTCCTTCTAATGTGACATCAGAAGGTCAAACAAATCCACACTATTCAAAAGTCATGTGAGAGGGAAGATATCAAATCCTGGTATCTCAATTGTATGCATAGCTTGTCAGCTCAAAGAACCAGGCTGGCAATTTTAAATTTTGATTAGATTATTTAAAAGACACAGTTTAAAAGTTGTTTTCTGTGGACCTCACTTAAAATGACAATATAAGCAGGGTTTCTCTTGCTGTCTAAATTAATGCTTTTCACTAAAATGTAATTATACTTGAAACTAGAAAAGCAAGAGAATATGATCACCCCGTAGACTTTGGCAACAGTTCCCACTTCAGTGGCACAATTTTTGGCTATGATGTTGATATTTGATTTCATTTAGTTTCTCAAACCCATCTATACCAAAATAAGATGACTCTTTCCAGGAATATATTTAATACTTCCAACAAAGAGAAAGACTCTTTGCAGTATATTCTGATTTAAAGAAGAAAGAATGGGAAGGGAGGGAAGGAGGAAGAAAGGAAAGAAGGGAAGGACAGAGGCAGAGGAGGAAAGGAAAGAAAGATAGGGAAGGAAAAGTGGGCAAGTAGAAGCTGTCTACACTCAAATACAGAAGTGTTCTTCAAGTTGTCTTTATAGCTATAGGGGATCCAAAACTCAAGTAATGTAGCTTTAACATGAATTGCTGTTCAGGATTTTATGGCCACTTCTCTCTCCATACTCATGTATAGATTTATAAATAGTAACGTACAATTCAGATTCCTCCCTTTTCTGTCTTCTGTGCCCCTCCTTTCTCTGGCACCCTAGACCAAACAAACTTAGACTTTAAAATGGAAGACTATGGTATATCCTTTCTAAATGTTCTGTAATTATTAACAGGATTTTCTATTCTTTCTCATTAGATTACCTTTAAAAATCATCATTCTCAGTAAACTATCGCAAGAACAAAAAACCAAACACCACATATTCTCACTCATAGGTGCGAATTGAACAATGAGATCACATGGACACAGGAAGGGGAACATCACACTCTGGGGACTGTTGTGGGGTGGGGGGAGGGGGGAGGGATAGCTTTAGGAGATATACCTAATGCTAGATGATGAGTTAGTGGATGCAGCGCACCAGCATGGCACATGTATACATATGTAACTAACCTGCACAATGTGCACATGTACCCTAAAACTTAAAGTATAATAATAAAAAAAAATTCCTATATTACTAATCAAGTATATTTTACAAAATACCACTGAGTGTGGTGCATCCAAGATTCTGAGGATCTAATATAAATTCTGGATCTAACAATTTTGTTTCTGCTCACAGTATCTCCAAAATTTATTGAGTTTCCATAGATTTTAGATCTGATATGAGCCATTTTACCATGTTAACTTATTAACCCTCACCATATCCTCTGAACTGGATATCACAATTCTCATTTCTAAGGTGAAACACCTTAAGCTCAGAGAGGTAGCATCAGTTATTTAAAGTCACGCAGCAAAGAAAGAACACAGGTCATGCCTGTTAGATTTCAAAATCACACCATCTTAGCTCTCTCTGTACCAGTAACCTGAAGTTACATTCCTCCAATTGCAGATAACAGTACAACATAAAACGGTAGCTCTTCTTATTATTATCTTGCCAGGAATTTAAAAAATGAATAAGATAGAATTTGAAACTGGAAGACAATCTCACCACATTTTGGAAAGATTGGTTTCCAAAATGTGACTAAATAGTTTACTTGAGAACATGCGCATGTGGAAAAACTCTTCTATCTGTTAATATTTTGCTGTTCATAATAAATTACTCTGAAACCCATTAATAGGGTAAGTGAGGTGATCATCACCCTGAATCACATTTTTTAATTCTGTTCTTTCCATGGCAATTGTAAAATCCACAGGCTTAGCAAGGGGCAGGGTGAAAAAAAGAATGTTCTCTGCAGCTGCAGCTGACTTTCTGGCAGACTCGAAAGCAACTGTGTTGGCAGCTAAGCCAGGCATCTGGGGCTGTCGGTGAATTAGTCTGAGGACTGACCTTCTAGAACGCCTATAAACACTATGCATTAGCTTTGCTCCATAATGAGGGGAATTTAACTCTTTGTATGATTATGATCAAGGTTATTATGAAATCCACTCTAAATTAATCAATAAAACCTTTATTGAATGACATACTTACAAAGGAAATAATAGGTATTTGGCTTTCTTAACACAAATTCTATTTAATAAAAGTGAAATTTTGGATTAGTTACATGTGCAAACTGGTTTCATGACGTTTTCTATCTCGTGATTTGAAGTCCTTCAGTTCTCTTACTTTATCTTGAAGACAGCACACTTTTAATTATTCCAAGAAAGATGGAAAAATTAATCTATCCTTTTAGACATCAAAAAAAGCATTTCACCACGTTTAATTTTATAGCCTAGGAGTCCTGCCTGGAAATTATTTCTTAATAAAAATCTAAAGGACTCTTAGAGTAGTTGAAGAACACCTTTTTTTTTTAGTCTCTATGGATATAAAAAAAACAGTTTATAATACTTAGTGTAAAATCATCTTCATTTATTGAAGTTTATTCCTGGAATCATCTATTTCTCTCCCCCTTAAGGCCGACAGTTTTTAATAATTTAAGATTTTTCTTAGAAGAAGTGTTTTACAAAATTGAGTATTTCTTCAAAGATACCTCTTCTAGTTACTCAATAACTCTAGTTATCCTCTATTTATAGAGAATAATGTAAAAAGTCAGAAATGCAATGAAGTATGTACACAGGCACACACATTTTTTAAACAAATGGAATCATGTAACAATAAGATTTATTGATTTATATACTTAGATATCAGTAAGTATGCCAATATATAAATATACACATTAATAAATATACACGTTTCCTCCATTTTACAAGCAGCAAACCTATTTTTAAAGCACATGAAAGAATTGTGCATCAGTAGAAGTTTACAAACACCACTAGTGATAAATTTCATCATTATATAACACTTTTGTCAGATTAAAACTTTTTCATCTAATGACAAAGACATAATCATATTCTAACCTTTGCAAAGCATATCCATTTATTTAATTTTAGCTGCTGAATTGGAGTCAGTCTTCAAGTTGAAAAGGGACCTTGGAGATGATCCAAGCCTAACACCCTCTGAGTAACTGACCTCTAGAGAGATGAGCTGTTTCCCCGGGTGATGGGGGGAGCCAATGGCACAGCCACAATCAGAACTTTAATTCTCGATGCCCTATCTTTTGTACTTTCCATTTACACAATGCTTCCTCTGAAATAAGATTTAAATAGGGTTGAAATGAGATCATGTTT
Organism: Homo sapiens; assembly: GCF_000001405.40. Taxonomy (NCBI): domain Eukaryota; kingdom Metazoa; phylum Chordata; class Mammalia; order Primates; family Hominidae; genus Homo; species Homo sapiens. The sequence continues at coordinate 84,978,879 of NC_000003.12, read as the reverse complement.
AAATCTAAAGTGCCACAGAAGTGATTTTTAAAGTTACATCCAATTTTGCTAAAACATATTTCTTATGTAAAATTTCCCCTATGGCCTATTATGATGTTTGGTTTTATTGTTTTCATATAATTCAGTTATAATTCCATGACTTAAAATTTCTGATAAAAAAGAACACACATGCTGAACTCCTAGCAATGTTAAGCAATAAAACAGGAAATACATTTAGACTCAGAAAAGTCTTCTTACGGCATTTCAGCTAGTAAATTCCTCCGCTCTATTTTCCCTTTTATTGTTTTAAATGAACACTGGTATTGTGCTTTAAGTCTTATGCCATAAACACATAAACACAATTACAAATGTTTTTCAAGTAATAAATAATATATTGTGAAATATGGAAAATGATGTGTCTGAGAAAGGGCTTAACTCAATCATTACTAATATTAAGTAGGTCCATTTTAAATACACGTGTTAATTTGGTTTCTGTTCACTGTAGGAAGCTGCTCAAAATGTAAAGAATATTACTTTAAAAATAACACAAGATAATTATATTTACTCATGCAATAAAAACTTATTGAACAACTGTGTGCCAGAAAATATTCTAGAAGTGGAAGATTAAAACAGTAAAAGGTAACTCTGCATTCACAGAGCTTATCAACTAGTAAAGAAAAGACAGAAAACATACACGTTAACAAGAAAGAAATACATAATTCCTGATAGTGACACAAATATTTTAAATAATGTCAAGGAAGTACTTTAGATTATTAGCACATTTATATTAATTTCTTAATGTTTAGATGAGCAAATACACCTTTATCATTTCTAAAAATTTGCCATCTCTAATTTACTCTATGTATTTTGTATGTTTATGTGAAAGGAGAAGACAAACTTTTTGCAAATGCCTTTATTCTCCTTCAAAAGTCTTTATTTTTAAACTTTTGCATAAGGAATACGGTTCCCCCAGAATGTCAGGTTTTCCCCAAATTTAAAGATCTTAGTTTAAAGCAAGCAATGTTCCCTTTGAAACACCTGCTGATTGACACCTTAGGAATTAAACGTAGACACTGCTTTTGTTAAGTGTTGTTTTCCGTTGACGTCAATATTGCATGAAAACAAATCAACGATGAAACCATTGCTCTCTGTTTTTAAGAACTATTCTGTTGTGGTATTCTTCCAGTTTTATATCTGAACATATGTAGCCAATAATAAAATACTTTTGAAAATCTGAAAATTTGTAAACTGCAAAGCTATAATAAGAGGAGTATCTGAGATTCACCTACAAAACAAAAGCATGTCCTAATTATTGCATCCCATCACCTCCACTCATATTAATGCCAACATAGACAGACTCAAGTATTAATTTTAAGAAAAAAATGTATCTTTTCACAAAGTCAACTAGAAACTTCTCAGTTTAAGTTGTATGTGAGAATATATTAAGTTTGTGGTAAGATAGATTCCCCAAAGATTATCGTTTTATTTCTGGTCATATGTGCTTATCATTTAGACCTACCTCCTAATTGTGTTAGGCTTCTTCATTATCAGTGCTCTTCCAAGAAATCAGGTGCTGGACATGCTGCACCAAATATCATCCTAAGTTCTTATCTAGTTATATGTAAATCTCTTTCACCATGTGCAATGATGTCAGTACCCACTGGGTCCATCAAACCTTGATTTGCTGATATCAGCTATAAATCTGTATCAATTCTTCATTGGAGATTCTGATTTCTTTCAGTATAATAAAGAAATATATACTTAAAGGCGCTAAAGATCTATATCCATCATTTTTATTATCCTATTGCTTTTATTCTCTTGACCAGCATAGTCTCTTTTCTGGCATTTTCACCTATTCTGCTATCTGACTCTGATTTCAAAAGAAATCCAGAAATCCCTTACTTACTGTTGTCTTTGCTCATGGTGAATTTGTTGTTATTTAGTCTATCTTTTACAGTAAAAAACACCTTTAGATCTGTGAGATATAAATCTATGATGATTGATAAAATGTGGCAAGATGAAAAAAGTCTTCTACAGAAGTTTCCAAGGGTGCATTTGAAAAGATAAGATGATATGCCAGAGTAATCTGTTTGCAGCCATTGATTACTAATAGTCAGTGGCTATGCTACATTGCCTAGGATTAATTTTCATCAAAGATAATTATTAAGAAAGCCTCTTCTTATTTGGATAAAAATTATCAAAGAAATAATGACCAAAGGATATTATAAAAATGTATAGAGCATTTCGGTATGAACTGTAGAGCCTCAATCCAAGGAGAAACATACTGGAAGAGATGTGTTTAGTGTCTAACTTTACTTCTAAGACAAGTAATCACCAGATTATCACCAAATATAAGTGGTTTTTATTGTATTTCTGATACTTAATAAAATAACCAATAGATTTCTATATTTCTATATTTTTGAAGGAAAAATACTTTTGAAATATATTGGTTTATGATGGATTTTTCACTAAATACTATGCTTTATTTAATTTATTTAAAGTATGACATATTTGAAAAATAGGTATTGGTCTGATAGTCTTATTTAACTTTCTATAATATAAATATAGTATCAAATATTTTAAATTTAAATACTTTCTACTTTCTTGTTGGTATCTCTACCAAAATGTCAACTTTCAAAAAGTGAATCAAACACGGAATGGTTTCTGAACATGTAGATATGACAAATTCACAAATACCTTTCATAATTTCTTTATCTGGTTCACACTTTATTCCCATAACACAGTAACTAAAAGCTAGAAAGTATTATAATACAAATAATTACTCCCCAAGACATACTTTTTATATAATCTTAAATATTTTATCTATTTACCATTAGGTTTCTTCATAATTTAAGGTTATGGTGGTATAAAATGGGAATTACCCAATTCTCCTTAGGAAAACTTTCATTCAATAGAAAATGAAGGCATCCTTGTGAATAAACAATCCCAGTTCTTTTAAGCAGAGCCCCCATTCTAAACTCTTATAATACTTTTGATTTTCATTTTGTTTGGGGAGGCCAGACAAGAGCACAGAGGTCTAGCAGTGCATTCACTTATGCTTATTAGTTTAGAAGATGTTCATCTCAGAGATTATCTCTCTACATTGTAAGATGACATCCTGTGGAAGCATTTTGAAATTCTGTATTGATTCTGTCTTCCACAGATAAAAGACTTGCAAAATAACAGAAAACACAAAGAGTTTTCTCTATAATGTTGAGTTTCCTATTAGGGTAAAACTTAAAGTTTTTATGATCTAAGTAGCAGCAAGGGGGATTTATTATGTGAGAAATAAAGGATATAAATTACCTTTCCCCACTCAAAATGATAGGTATGCAAAATTACAATTCTACAAGGAGGTATTTGGTTAAAACTCTTAGAGTAACTTCATTACTTTATATCCGGGTTTTCATTAGAAAATATATAATATATGCTTCAGAGATGGCATTACAAAATCCTTAAGAAACGTAACTTACAATTGCTTATACAGTACACCGGATGATTTTTGATGAAAAAAAATGCAATCCCTTATAAGTTTTCTCTTATTTGCCTTTCCAAAATGTAAAGGTATCTGAAAGAAGCTATAATTATTACCAATAAAATATACCACAGAGATACCAGTGTACTAAATATAGATGGAGAGTGAAATAACTTTGTTTGTTTGTTGTTTACTTATTTTGTTTTAAATAACTGTTTTATTTTTGACTATCAGGTAGCACCAAGATTATGGGAAGGCACAATTATCTTAATAACATCTTGAAACTTGAAAAGATTAACAGACAGCCTAATTGAGGTCACTTTTCTTGAAAGGGAGGTAAATTAGGCAAACAAAATTTCCTTTCAAGAGAAAGCTTTCTCTTTTCTTTTGTTTAAAAACTTAATGCAATTAGTAATATTTCAAATAATGGTTAGAAATAAATGCTTTTTCTTGAGATCACATATTTGCAGCATTTTACACTAAATCAACCCAAACTGTACAAAAATGTTATCATTTTAACTTCTGACTCTAATAATAATCAAAGATTTGGTAAATAAAAAGCCAACTATGAGGTTTTAAAAAACATAATAAAAAATTTGAAGATATCAGAATGTAATATATTATCTTAAATGTTACAGAAATGAGGTAAGTAATAAAGTGTGATATATCTTGCTTCTTAGGAAGGTTTTTATCTACTGTACAAAAATACTGCTGAAAACAATGATACAAAATCAATATAAACTTAGTTGGTTAGTAAAACATAATACCACTAGGAAACCAAAGCTATGCCTTACTTAATGCACTTCTTGTATGAGAGTATTTAATGAACAGAACAGGACCAAAGAAGTCACTAAGACACAAAGATGACAGAACAGCACCACCTAGTTCCCTTTATAAAAGTTTCCAAACATGTATGCATCTCTGACTTAGGAAAACTTAATATATTTCAAAATAAATCATTTAATATAAAACTATACTCTAGCCATTTATCACCTGCAAGACTGCATTTACTTGAATTAAAGTTTCTTTTAAAACCAAAAGAAAGTAAAATTAAAGTTAATGGGTAAGCACAGGTTTTTCTAACTGTGGATTATATTACTGTGTATAATCCAAATAAGTAAGTCCCTAAACTGAACTATTATAAATGCTAGACCACCATCATTATGATTTCCAAAGTATATATATATATATACATATAATTACAGAGTTCGCTTGTCTATTTTAACATGTATATCATCCATTCCAGAGATATCACTAGCCAATAAATAGTAATATTCAAAAATACCATACAATCTGTTAGAAATGTGGTATCATTCCCATCTTGGGATCATCAAAGTTAAATATTAAAGGAAGTAAAATATGATGCCAAGAATATTTGTAGCCTGTTCATATGATGTGTGTTTCTCTCCAATGTTTTAAATAATTGTATAAAAATTCATTTTATTTTTAAACTTCTTAAATGGTATCCCCATGTATTCTTCAGCTTTGTTGACCAGGTGGTTAATATTTCAAACATATTGAATAAAAGTTTAAGGAACAACATTTAACTGACACTTTCAAAAAGCCAAATTATGTTAGTATAGGTTTTAACCAAGCATGATGTATTGTAATATAAGCAAGGCGGGAGTTTTAATATATATGACACAGTGTAAGGAGCATTGTTTCTAGATAGGACACTTTAAAAATGTTTTCCCTGAGGCATCAGCGGCTCTTTGAATGAATGTTGCTGGTAACATCAGAATTGCTCAAGCAGAACTCTAGGTCTAAAAAAACTAAATATTGTTGCTTGTTACATAGTTCCTTCTCACAGACCTCTTCTCCCCTACATTCCCTCTGCTGACCTGGTCACCCACTGTTCTGGACCACTGAGTCTTTATGAAATTAAATGAATCATCCTCTCGAACAAATCAGTTAGAATAGAGCATTCTTGAATATTTCTTTTTCACCTGTCAGGTTCTTTCAAGTTGTATTAACAATAATAAAAATAAAGAAACTGGCATCATACTGAGAACGTTTTCAGGATAAACGACTGGAGGAAATGAGAGCTCTTTAACCTTAAATTTAAAAAAAAAATGTTAAAAGCCCAGTGAGGTTTACAGCATTGTTGTAAAGCAGTGATTTCACATCCTCATTGATATATCTGCATTCTGTTGCTGTTGAAAGATATTACTATAAAAATAAAATGTCTAATTTTGATTCAGAAAGGCATTACAGGCTGGGCACAGTGGCTCATGCCTGTAATCCCAGCACTTTGGGAGGCCGAGGTTGGCGGATCACCTGAGGCCAGGAGTTCGAGACCAGCATCATCAACATGAAGAAATGCTGTCTCTACTAAAAATAGAAAATTTAGCCGGCGTGGTGGCACGTGCCTGTAGTCTCAGCTACATGGGAGGCTAAGGCATGGAATTGCTTGAACCTGGGAGGCGGAAGTTGCAGTGAGGCAGGATCATGCCACTGCACTCTAGCCTGGGCGACAGAGCAAGACTCTGATTCAAAAAATAATAATAGTAATAAAAGAAAGAAAGAAAGATAGAAACTAAGAAAGGAATTATGTATTTTGATTTGTTTATTATGTGGCCAACACTAGACTGTAAACTCCATAAGGGCAGAGACTCTTTCCATCTTGTTCATTTATACATCCAGCATTTTACAACACTGCCTTCAAATAGGTATTTGTTGATAAATGAATCAACGAATGAATAAGTTATGCTTCAGAAAACCAAAGGCTATGAAGAATAAAATGACCACAGAAAATTTTTAATGTACATGAAATGCACAGAAATATGAAATCAAACTCAAAATTGAAAAACCTTATCCAGTCCACTTCCTAATAATAAAAATGACAAAGGAATCAATTTCCTAATTTATAGAATTGATCTATGGATGTGATTTTGTGAGAAAAGTATGTATGGCTCAAACTCAGGCCAATGGCTACAAAATTAATTTATAAACTTCATTGACAGAGAAAGAAAAGCTCTGAAATTTACAGAGGCACATATATCACAATAAAAAATCTGTTTACATATGTAAAATCCTTAAGCACTAAACAATGCATAGATGGATATAAAAAGTTAAATTTTAGGAAATGCTATTTTAAGAGCATGCAGTTAATGTTATACTATGTTATAAAACATCTTTAGGTGGAAAGGAAAAAGAAAAATGCCATCTCTGCAGTTTGCAATCATCCATAAGTTCCTTCTACAATACATCACCAAAGAATGAATGTGGTTCCAACCACTCAGTCTACAGCTGAAAAAACTAAGCTACAAGAGAAGTAACTTGCTCAAGGCCAGTGAGACCGTGACACGGCTTGCCTGAGAACTTAGGTCTCTTGCTTCCTACCATCATGTCTTACTGCTGTAAGGCACTTCCAAAATCAAAGTTTTAATTAGTCCATTGATAGCTCCTCCCTTTACAGCATAAAGAACCCTCACTACAAAATAAAAGACCTGCACCAGACCAATCTCACTACCACTTCCACACGAACCACAATTTGACCATGTCTGCTGCTTGTGTTCCACTTCATTCCTCTATTACCAATCCACCTCTATACTCCATCATGGTATGGCTAGGTGATGAGAATTTCCTGGGAGAAAATATCCCTAATGCCTGATCGAATTTACTTTTACCTTATAGTTAGTCCATCATTAAATGATAAGAAATATTAATCTCCCCAGTCTGTCCATACCCATCAAGCATATTTGTTTTATTAAAACATGTACTCTTATGCTGTTGTATCTTTCAGGGATAATATGTTCTGCTTTGTTGATAGTCTATACTTGCACAGTCAATAAAATTGGGTAAAGCGAGATAAAGTTTAAAATAAATTAGTGACTTCCACCAGACCTCTATAATACTATGCAGTTCTTATCTCTCTAGAATACTTTTATTATAGCATTGTAAATTTCATGGAAATGAAATGATATGGAGAAATGGAGTTACTAAATGGTAACACCATTAGTTTTACCTCATCCCTAGCATTTCTATGTTGATAAAAAAGCAAGCCAATGAACATGAAACTATCCTGTATAAATTTTACTTGATTTTTAAAAATATGTTTGTAAATGTTATTGAACATACAACTTCTTTTTCATGTTACTTATCATGAAATCTTTCCGTAAAATCAATACTTTTTGTGCAACAGTCTTTCTATAAAATCAGTACTTTTAGTGTAATATTTGTTTGCTAAATATTATGGATATTGTTTTTAATTTTGTGCCTCTGGACAAGAATGTTGGTCTGAAATGCTTTTGCATGTAAAGTAACAGGTAAAGGTGTTTCTTTCTTATAACAAACTGAAATTCAATTTTAAGTGAATCATTACGACTAAAAGTCTTGAAAATATGAAGGTATAGCTTTTCCTCACAGTTCCAATTTCAGATATTATGTGGCTACACACAAAAAAATTAAAATATGTCATATTTAACCATAGGTTACAGGAATATCCTCAATATAATGAATAAATTCAGTAACATATTAAAATGTTTCACTGAAACAGTGAAATAGTCAACAAAAATTGCCTCCAACAAAAATTGCAACAAAAACTACCTTCCCTTTAATTCACTAGTCTCTGAAAAGTTGATGAGCAGGGGCCAAACAGAAGCCATGTTAGAGAAGGTTTATTCTGCAACTGTAGCATCATACAGACATGGTTTAACATAAAGCAAGACTAGGTGCTAATAGAAGCTATGAGAGAATATAATTCTTAATACCAACTGTATAAAGCGGCAAGAATCCTTAATAAATTTTGCTAGTTTATCTTCATTTGACATTTATTTACAGAATATATATTTCTCTATGAGGATGACAGAGTGATTTCCGCACCTGGCATTCAGGTAAATCTTAAGCTAGTCTAGTTAATAATATCTTTTCAAATGCTAAGAGTCATGAAACAGTCAAAAATCCACAAGACATCAGGGAAATTGATTTTTAAAATGTGAAGAAAAACTTGACTTTTAAGAAAAGTCGCATTTCACTGGGACTTTTTAGAAAAAGTATTCTTAAAACACTTTATGTGAAAATATAGTCACTACAAATTGTAGAGTCTTTTCTCCCTTGGTTTCGAGTTTCCAGTAACTGTACTTATATTTTCTTTAAAAGGCAGATAATATTTCCATCCTACCTCTATCTTTCAAATGCAAAAAAAAAAAATCAAATTCAATCACAGCATATATGTGTCATCAACTGCATAAGTATAAATAACTAAACATTAAAAACACAAATAGACTAACATTTAGAATTTTTAAAGGGCCTTTTAAATAATACTGACAGAATCTCTTCCAGTTAACTGAGAAGAATGCACCCTGAATCTTCACTTCAGGGACTAATCAGAGAACCTCTACTCTCTAGCTTGGCAGTAAAAAAAAAAAAAAAAAAAAAAAGCAGGTCAGTCCACACATAATCTGGTGGATCAAGGTCAGCTTGTAATTCCTCTTTGTTTATACATTTATCCGGAAATGCCAGCTACTCAAAGTAGAACAAGAAGATAATGTGGCTTCACGTTTAACCAAAGTCATCATCAGGAATATTTTTGAAGCTAGAAATAAAATCTTTAGAAAGTAGATTAAAGATAAGGGGTTAAATACCCAAAGATATCGGGAAGATTCAAATAAATGTTTACAGTGCAAATTTGAATTGACTACCCTGACTGAAAGCAATTAATTCATATTTTTGTTAAGTACACCATTATTTAGTATTATTTTTGTTTCTTGGGGTGCATTTCTGTCTTCTTCCTGTGTATTACATATAAATGAAAAGTCACTGCAAATATTTATTCTATTTGGAGTACTGTATTGGCATTTTGGCAGTTATAATGTAAATACTTAAATATTATCTAGATCCAATTAAAGAGTTGTGTCAAGATTAAATCTTTTAGAAGAAAACTAATCAATCAGTGGAATGAAAACATTAAAAAAAAAGATAGACCAGACATTCGATTAGTCAAAATACTATAATAATAATATACGAAGTTTTATATAGATCACAGAATAGACAAAATCAAATGCTCAGTTCTCTCATGAAATAAGAACACATAAATGCTTAAAATAATCAATAGAGGGCAGATGGCATTCTTTTGTCTACTAAAACTAAAACTATAGCTTCAAAAATTATGCTATTGTGTAAAATAATCAAACAAAAATTGTCAAAACATATTTATTATATCAGCTTATAAAACGCTTTTTATTGCCATAAGCATAAATAAAAGAATAAAAGACACAAGTTGCAGTTACAAATTAAACCACCATTTTCTTATGACATAAGACACAGAGGAAGACATGTAAGTCAAAGGGTACAATTAAGACAAATGCACTCTCATACTCATGTAATATAAGAAAGTATCCCCCTTGTTAAGTGATAACACATACAAAACAAGCCAATTCTTATAGCAATCTCTCCACAATTGAAGTCTCTTTAAGAAAAAGATGTCTGTCTCTCTCTGTTGAGTTCAGCGTCTCTCTATACTTCCACCAGTATTCAAATTGCATCCAAATTAAAACCCGAAAATAAAATGTCTCAAATTTGGCAATGCACTGATATTTGGCAGTCCATAAAGATTGCAGGCAATTAATACTGCTTAAATATCTACAGCCTCACATAAAAACCAGCAAAACTTCAAGATCCCACCATAGCAAGATGTGTTAATGGGCTAGTTAAGGAATAGAGTATTGACTTAGGAACAATTTCTGATTCTTCTTTTTGTTTGGGAAAGTGAAAGGAACAATCCCTATTCAGGGTAGGGGATACACATTTTCACTCATTATTTTATTTCAATCCTAGAGCAGTATCTGTTATTTAGAAATAACAGATACTGTATTATGTATCACAATGGTGAATTTAATTCTGCCTTGGCAGGATAACTAGTAAGTGCAGAATGTGAGTAACTGCTTGCTATATTGGAGTCATAGATATATAATTGCCTTCAGAAACATCCTTCTCTGAATACCACCTACACATTAATACATGACAGTGAACTTACAGCCAGACCCCTGTTCTATCCCACATGATCCCTGAAAAGGCTTTGAAATGAGGACACGTGCATAATTAAGGCACATTGAATATCACAGAACATGTAACAAACTAGAGTATTATGAATCCTTAGGGGAACCTCGTAGAACTAATACATTTTCTAAAGAAAGCTGCACATGAGTAAAGGGAGACTAAAATGCTAATTAGATCCTCTCAGTGGAAGCTATAGAAAAGTTGATTCTTGAATCCTGAAGTTGGACACAGAATGGAACATTTGTATACAGAAGGGCTGGAGAGGGAAAAAAAGAACTTGACATAAAAGCCCTTGAATAGATGATTTACACAATTCATGAGAAAATAAATGAAGCAAAATAAAAATATAACAGTGGGAGAATTCCAAACCTCCTGAAAGGGTTAAGTATGAGAACTGATTTCGTATTAGAAAGGGATTATGTAACAACAGAGGGAAATACTCAGCCTAGCATATGCTAATTTAGGCAGCTTTGCCAGGCCTTTCTCTGTGTGTTTGGCTGGCTGACTCACATTCCTTTCCCCTTCTTTTTGCCATTTTTATTAAGAGATTACGGAATGGAGCTTTCAAAAAAATGCAATAGTAACAATAACAAAAACAAGTCAATACACATTGCACATGTTTTATCCTTGCTAAAACGCTGGGGTGTGCTCCTTGGGGGTTGAAAGGAAAAACACCCAATCTGTACATATTCTGTACATATCCTTTAGCAAAACACTTCTTTATTCTTCATTCCCCATTAATTTATTTTAATGGATCTTTCAAGTCAGTAGCATGGGCAGGGAATGGGAGGGATATTATATTCCTGGAGAGTATAAAGGAAGCCGAGTTACTATTCGGACTTCAGCACATAAAATAGAGAGCAGTAAAGAAATGGCAATTAAATAAAAAGCTTACTATATATTTTTCTTTGCTTTTACATATAAATATTCTAATTCATAATACATTATTTCTCATTTAAACTTAAGCCTACAACTCCAGATTGAAAAACAAGAGATGTAAAAGGTATCAGAATGAACGGAAGTTATGAATGTCATGGACACTTTCCCCCATGGGGGATACAGGAGAAGTTAATATAAAATATGAATTTATTAAGAAAATTAGGACTTTTTTTACACACTATAAATTTTAGGCCTTGATGTTTAAATAAGCATTATGGAAGGCACCTGCATTTTAGAATACAAACAATTTTAGCCTAAAGGTAAAAATATTTCCTTACAATAATAAATTAATTGGCTTTATAAATTATAGCAAATCAATATAACAGCTATACACTTAGCAGTCGGCAGCATATCTTTGTCAGGAAAGGTATGTTCTCATTCTGTTCTCAAGGACAACTTTAGATAAGCAATGTATCCTTACTGTAAATTAACCATCATAAAATATATAAAATTTTTAGAAACTCAATTTGACTTTTTAAAGGACTTTGTTTTCTTATAATGTGAAATTATTTGCACTATTTGATCACATTTAGCTTTGAGATTTTTTTTTCTGAAAGCAAAAGTATGCTTATTTTTATTTTCTAAGCAATGCCTAATGACATCAGTATTTAACCCCTGGAAAAACTCCTTAACTATGACTAGACAGGGACTTCCTCTTCAACAATGAAATGGCTGAAAGATAATTTAAATATTCAAGTGAAAATGATTTGCTGACTCAGAAAGAGTTGTTTCCAAAATTGAACAATGACTGTGTTAATATTTACTTCAAAGACCTCTAAAATATAATGTGAATAGTTAATGGCCCCCTCTCTCTATGGCAGATCTTACTAACTTAGCTCTGTATCTATTCAAGTAGTAACAAGTTCTTATCACTCAGTTTCATAAGCACAAAGATAGATGCAGAATACTCAACCCTATTGTTATTTCATAAATTGTAAGACTTGTGTGTGTGTTTTTTTGTGGAAGTCTTGTTAATCGTTGTTGCAGCCTGAGAAAATTTACTTTAAAAAAAAATAAAATTCTTAACCTTAATTGAAAGAGTAAAAGAACACAATGAGTAAAAACAAAACAAACTCTTAACTTTTCCATCATTCTATTATACATCCCTGAAAGCCCTAAACTCTAATTACAAAATTAATAAAGATGTTCTTCAGTCTTAAAAATAATGACATACTTAAATGTGTATATATGTGCATATATATAAATAAGTGACTGTGGAATATTTCCATACTCAATAATTACATCTCTGATTTTGACATTAATATTTAACTGATCCCTACTTAAGCAGAATATTTACTTCACTAATTTTTAAATAGGCTGCATGCTTCTAAGATGAAAACGGTTTCGTATATGCTTAAGGAAATCCACTGAACACATTAACAGGACCAACTGGGCTCACTACTTAGTAAAAATCAGTATGTATAACATGTTCAGTTTTTTGTTCTGTGGCAAATGGAATCAAAATATACAAAGCTACGTTAGTTCCTTTTATCTGATAGGGTTTAATGCTATAACAGTGGGTTTATAACTCTTACATTTTTAGAGAACATATCAGATGACTTTGCCTATGTGATAAATAATATTGTGCAGATAGGAAACATTCTCTATTGATGTGACATAACACAAATTATACTTGACAACACTAAATAAACTGAAGAGACACTGAACAGTTAACTCCTATTTTGTAAAGAAACTGCTATATTTTCATAGTACAGGAAATGCTCTAATAAGAATGAGATTAAAGGACTAACTCCTTACTCACTGAAGGAAGAACTGGATAACAGAATGCTTCCCAGCCCAACAGTTATTAAGTCCAACACACGTAAAAAATAGCATGGAAATCCTATTTTAATTTTGCTATTCATCTTCATTAAACTGACCTATGTTCCCGATAGTTTGGAAGAAAATTAAATGTTCACCATTCATTGGATGAAAATGTTGATAGTTTTAGTAGGATTTTATTCATCTCTAAACAAAATATATGTTCTCTCTTTTGCTTTGTCATAACCTCATGTGATTACAAATACTCTGGATCATTTCTGGTTATAAAAAGCTAAAGGATGTTTTATGTCCACTACAAGCTATGAAAAAGACTTCCCATTTCACTCTCATGCCACATGACTGCTTTCCTGTGAGTTTGTGGCCTCTGCAGAGCACATTAGGCCTGAGATGCCATTTGCATCATCACACAGCAGGGGGCTTCAGCTGCCACAGCTCTAGGTTAATCCTCACCCACCTCTTTACACAAGGAATTTGCAGAAGATGCCTTTCTTGATACAACAGAATTGCACTCCAAAAATGCTTGACATTTTCAAATAAAATGTTGGCAATGAACGTGTCCTTTTAAATATTTTAGGTTAAATCAGTAAATTTAAATTGTGTCCTTCATTTTTTATGAAATTAGTTTATGATCTAATCTAATGTAAAGTATCTGGGGTTTTTAATCAAGGAAAAGAAAAAAATGGTAGGAAAAATGTTAAAAATGACTGATCAGATTGAATTCACTTAAAGATGTATATTAAGAACTATTTATGTGATACTTTAGGATAACTTTCATAAACCAATATAGCTTACAAAATGTCAAAATTAACTCTTATGTGACTTGACAAAGTATGAGTGCTTTCATATTATGAAAAGAAGAGATCATTTAATCCCATCACAAGTAATTAGGACATATATATTATTCAATCCAACATGACTGTTTATGCATCTACTAAAATGAGGATAAGAAAATTGCATAGCTATGTGAGGCTCAGAGCTTGCCCTCAGGAAGCTTAAGTATAATAATTGTTGGGCACTAGAACTATTTTAAGAGAGTAAATCAGACCAATATCTGCCAATTCAACAAAGGGCTTTTGACTTCAGTTTTGAGTCGGCCTCCTTGGTTTGTGATTTTCCTTCTCTCTACTTCCTCAATCTATTCAGCTAGCTGCTACAGAATAGGTGACTTAGCCAATGGGTTTAATACAGTCTAATAAAATGAGGATTATTTCTCAATAAATATCATAGAGCACTTGTCAGCAAGATCAAATAAAACATCCATATGACATTAGGTCTATATTTGATTATTAATGTACCCCCAAATCCTTCATAGTAAATAAGGCTTACTTGTCTCAATCATTGATATACCACAGACTACTTAAGGAGAAAATTCATGTCATTTGGTGTTGATTCCAGGCCACTTTCAAATGCATGCTTAGGATGTCTTCCAACATTTTTGCACTTCCATTTTGCTCTTTAAGTGATTTAAGTATTTTTTTCTTTAAGAAAAATGACATTCTACCACTATTTAATTGTGTGACAAATAGTTTTCAAATGTCTTATCTTCTAATGAAGGACACAAGAACAGATCATCTCAGTTGATACTTAGCTTTGTCATGTTATGTTCCCAGAGTTCTAATAGTTATAGAAATGGGAAAAAGACAATGAAGTAAGCTTCCACATCTTGATATAAAACTAGTCTAGAAACTCCTTATATTTGCAAAGATTTTCTTAATTACCAATTGTCTGATGTTTGACTATTTAAGCCACAGTTATTGCATTTAAGTATATAGGCTCCACTTTCCAAAGTTTATGTTAATCAAAAAAGGGAGTGAGAAAACTGTATTTCAAGAACTGCATTTGGCATAAGAAATGAGCTTGCCAAGACTAAAGTTAACACATGTAAAGGTAAAATAGTTGGAAAGATATGCTTTTAGGAAGCGTAAGTATTTCATTAAGTGTATATAAGATGTATTATAATGTGCTTTCTAAAAATGTAAGGTGAGGTTCATGACAGATACTGAGGCAAGTATTATGTACGTCCAATGAGATTTAATTTGAATGTATATTCAAATTAAATTGTGCTTGTGTTATATTTTTACTAAATGTAACAAATAATTTACCAGAATATACCACGGCAAAAAACAAACAAACAAACAAACAAAAAAACCTAAAGCCCCAGTATCTGTCTTGGAGGTGCTTTTTTATACGACTAATTCCAAAAAGTAAACACAGTTCTCAACAAAATGAGGTCTTGTATGCATGTATGCATGATTATTTCTTGTTATATTTTGCCCTTGTTTCTTTTTTGCCCTTTCCAGAATTGTTTCCTGTGCTACCCAGGGCATTCTCTCCATCTTTGCAGTGCCCCCTCAGGCATGGAAAGGCATAAGGTTTCAGCAAGGGTTAGCAATTGAACTGGATCTACTGTATAGCCAAGAGAGGACTTAGTTACAGGTGGCAAGCTTTCCTTGCAAAGAAATTCATTTCTGTAATGTGTCCCTTGCGCTTACTCCAGATTTTCCTCTTTCTATGATGAGGGAAAATAAGAAAAGACACATTGTAACTGAACACCAAATGAAATTTTGCTATTTAAGTAGCCTACATTCCAAGTTATACTTTGGCCAAACAAATGTTTAGCCAAAAGCATATGTTTATTCCCTATCTATTATTCATTTCCTAAAGACACGATGAGGATGAGGACAAACTGGCAGATGTTATAGAATTAAGTAAGCCTTTTAAAAAAAACTCATTTTATCATTGACTAGATTCTCACCACTGGCTTATCACTCCACATATTAACAAGCCAGAAAATTGATTTTGCTTCCCAGAAAAAAGGTAAAAAATATAGGTGATAATATAAAATACAGTCAGTTAAAAC
Source organism: Homo sapiens (assembly GCF_000001405.40). Lineage (NCBI taxonomy): Eukaryota > Metazoa > Chordata > Mammalia > Primates > Hominidae > Homo > Homo sapiens. Next base: position 84,962,845 of record NC_000003.12, on the reverse strand, counting down.
ACAGAAACATGGAGAAGATATGTTCAAATGAGTCTTCTTGTCTTTAATAATGATACTGAAAGAAAGAGAATAGTAATACATGGGATAAATAAACTGATTAGTATTACTTAAGTGAATATCACTATAGTGCTGATAAAGCTAAAAAAAAGAAGCTAATGACTGACTATAGTATTTGCCTAGTCATAACTACTAGCAGGCAGGGCAGACTCCCTCTAGCCAAAATCAGTCGCTCACTAGTTCCCCCGCCACCCTTTTCTCCCCGCACATAGAAAGACCCGCTAAGTATTTAATCTATGTCCAGAAAATAAAGCCTTCATTTTACAACCTAACCAAGTCCTAATAAAACAGTAGGGTAGGGGAAGAAACATAAATCTGAACCCCGAAACAATGTTCTCAGCCAAGCCTAAGACAAGGAAGGCATGAGCAATTTGAGCAAAAACTGACAATATCAACAAACTATGATGTGTCTGTGGAGCAGTGTTTGATGAATAAATGTGAGGCAGCCATAAACATGAGAAGACAATCCAGTGGTGCTTTGTGCCCCCTCCTCTTTCTTTCTTTTTTTTTTTTTTAAATCCTCGTATCTCTTTTAGTGTATTCATATGGCCTGATCTAAGATGCTCCTAAGTCCACAGACATGGATGGACTTGTGCTCTTTCCCTGGTTGCTGTATAGAACCTTTATTTATTTATTTATTTATTTATTGGACCTAATGCTGGTGTTGCTGCTGGTTGCAGTGGTGCATTTTCTCGGCTATACTCACACCCCTTCCCCGCACCCCCCGCTCCCCAGTCTGCTGTGAAAAGCAGCACTGTCTTAATCATTGGTTTACATACTCAATAAAAGAGACTCATGCCTGAATGCTGCTGATGGAATCTCTCCGGGTAGAGAAAGAGTAAATCCTCCTCCAGGCTGAGAGAGAGGCACCAGCAAACAGTTATTTCGCACTGCACTGAATAGACAATTCACAGGGAAATGTTGAAGGAAGAGAGGAGGCGACCCCAAGTGCAGTCCATGGCCCACATGCTCTATAATAAATAATTTCGCAGCAGCCCAGCAGTGTGTGCATTGACCGGCCGGGGCCAGCACACACAGATTGGCAGGGAAAATACATCTAGCGGTGTCGAATTTTCATTGCAATCACCAAATTAACTGATTCCCCCACATCACACTCCCCCAACACGGCACACGCCGGCGCGCGCGCGCGCACACACACACACATACACACACACACAGCAGAGCTGAGAAATGCAAGTTACTGAGAGGTGAAGTAGGGTCTCTGTGAGATTGTCTCAGCGCGGATTAAAAACCTAAGTAACGTGTCAGACACCCGGGTTACTTGTGTGAGGATGGGGGTGTGAAAGGTGAGAAATGGGACTCGGCGGTGTACGCAGGGAGAATGTGCTGTCTGCCTTCACGGAGATTCTGGCACACATGACATATCTGAAATTTACACCCAACGTAAAATACACAAAAGTACCACCAAAATTTTCTACACAAGATCTCTACAAGGTCAGTTAGTTAATTCAGGAAAATTCTGCCCACCGCCTCTTTTTTCACATTCATAAATATGCATAAATAAAATTCGGTCCCCAGTCTATATCCCGGAGGAGGGCAGGAGAGAGGATGCATTCCAAGAACTTGCTGAAAGATGGTTCATTGACCTCATTTAAATCCTCCAAAGGCCGACTGGGTTTTGCACGCCAGTGAGTCTACGTGTGTCTTACTTTCAGATCCCTTTTACCCAGGGAAAAATTAATTTGATCAACTTACCTTTCCTGCAAATACCCAAATAATGACAGAAGGATTAGAGGCAGGCAAAGAAAAAAAATCTAGTCACCTAGCTTAAAAAATATTCTATCAATCATCATTTCACATCCATCCTTGCTATATCTCACACTCAAGCCACATCCCTATACTATTCTCTTCAAAGCAACAATCTTCCGCCTTACAGCCCCTGCCCACCTAGCCCTAGCACGCCGCCCCTGCCTCCTCCACCACCCAAAGTGTCCTCATGCACTCCTGTACTATGCATTGCCATTTATTTCATAATCAGCATCGTCCTCCCATTCCACACAGCCCCCTCACTCCCTCCTCCAAAAAAGAGGGTCTGGAGAAAAGTGAACCCAGATTCCTTAGCCATCCGGCATCCAAACCCAGTGATTTGCATAATAACAGCGTTTTGTGCGGTTTCCCTCCACTGCTGCGGTCGCAGAGGTTCTTACATTTCACGTGAAAGGATAATATTAATTACGGAAAGAAGCGGCAGAGAGAGGATGGAGAGGTAGGAAATCTAAGTGAAAATATCTTAGCAGTAAAGTAACTGCTAGGGAGCATATATTTCTTTGGTTAAAAAAAAAAAGAAACGACACAGACTGAATAATAAAAAGTCAATGTGTTGATAAAGTGGGTTTGGGTCTTTTAATTTTTTTGCCTTTTCTCCCCTTTCTTAAATTCTTGGTTTATTTATTCATTCATTCACTCATTTTTTCTTTTTTCTTATTCTTTTTCCTTTCTTTTTCTTTTCTTTTCTTTTTTTTTAAATCCCAGACAGAGTCCCCTCTCTCTTCCTAGGTAAATGACACGTCTCAGAACACATTTCCCCCCCGGGGATGTTATTGCAATGCACACGGTGCTGTCGCTGCTGCTGTTCTCGCCCGTCTTGGTAGCTCGCTCCCAGGCTCTCACACACTTTTTAAAGACACACGGATATGATGATGGTGGGAAGAGGGGGAAAAGAAAAGGCGACCTGAAAAGGGGGAGGTTAAAGAGATGACAAGAGATGGAGAGGGTCGCTCAAGAGCGTGATGTGGGAGGTGGCTGGTGGGGGTTGTCGGGAGGGTGGAATGTTCAGAGAGGCACAAGTTGCCAGCCAAAAGGCGTGGGAGGGGGATGCTGGCGGGAATGGAGTGAGATGAAGGAAGCTCAGGTGAATGAGAAGGCAAAAGGTGCCGCGTAAGGGGCTGACTGCTGGGAAGGCAGGGCTGAGCCAGTGTTAGAAATTCGAGGGGCTGGTGCAAACTGCCACTGCCCCCTGCCGCACCAGAGAGTAGGGGGAGGGGGTGGAAATCGCTGGGGACAGGGAGACTGGGAGGGGAGAGTGGAAATATGGGGTGGAATGGGGAAGATGGGGAATGGGCGAGAAGTTGATGTTCCCTGCGCCGGGGCGGGGATTACCTTGTAGCAGGAGCCCGCAGACACTGTAGAAGCGGAGAACGGCGCTGCGTTTCCAAATCATGGTCCCTTCTCTAAAGGGCTGGGGAAGGAACGAGGGGGCAAGTAGATGCTGGTGAGCGGGGCACGAGAGTGCAGGGCTCCGCTGGTGTCCTCCTCCCGGCGCCCGCCGGACCCACCGTCCCCACCGCTGCGGTGTTCGAACCCGCGGACTCGGATCGGCGGCAGCAGAAGCGGCAGCGGCAAAGCACCCGCAGAATGGGGTATCGCGAAATAGTTTCTTCTCCTCCTCCTCCTGCTGGTGGTGCAGCCGCGACAGCCCGTCTTCCAGGCAGGGGTTTGGAGCTTGCCTTCCTCTCGGCGCGCACAGCAAGTCCCAGAGCCCGCCGGGGCTGCCCGAGCAGGTGGTGCAGGGATGCCGGGGTGTTGGAGAAGGTGCGGGCGAGGGCTGCAAGGAGTGGGTAGGTCACGGAGGGGAAGGGCTGGGGGAGAGGAGGAGCAAGCAAGCAGCACTGCCGCTCGCGCCCGGGGTGTCTCGGGGTCCTGGGAGGGGAGGTAGAAGCAGTGGAAGCAGCGCTAGTGGCGGTAGCAGCGGCAGCGGCGGCGGCAGTGGCGGCTCCCGGATGCTCCGGCTGCAGCGGCGGCTGTGGCGGCAGCGGCAGCGGCGACGGCGGCAGCTCTACGAAGCACCAGACACAAGGGCAAGCTCAGAGCGGCGGAGGCCCCGCCCCCACCCCGGCCAGGGACAGACACCGCCCCCCGGCCAATGGAAACTCCCCCGCCCACCAGGTCTGGCCAATGAGAGAAGGGGATGGGTGGAGACAAGCGCCGGGAAAAACAAACAGGCTTCTCAAGGACCCTTCGGGCAGGAAGAACTGAAGCCCCCATTCAGCACCCCTGGCGGATCTTACCTCTTTAGAGATGTCTCGCCCGAACTTGCAGGCGAGACAACTGCCTTCATTAATCAGCGCTTTGCACTCAGGAAGGGTTCAGCCAATCGCCACCGCGAGGGGGCGGGGTTAGCCGTGTCCCCAGCATGTTCTGGAATTCGTGGTGCCTGGGCCAGGTCCTGGGTGCGAGGTTCTTCTGCGCATTTGGACTCCTAGAGCAGATGGTGGCTGCACCTGCCCACTCACCAGCTGCAGTAGCAATCTCTGACGATTCCAGCAGCAAAAGGGAAAGATTGCAGAGGGCGTGGGAGAGGCTAAGTATAGGGAGTGGAACACCTACCTGCCTACAAGAACTTGTGCAAAAAAGGAAAAACAAGTGGAGGAAATAATTTTGTTGTTGTTGTTGTTCAGAGGTTTTACTTAGTCTAGGTATAAATCTCAGTAGAGCTTGGTGAGTAGCAGTGCTGGCACTGGCATCAGGCAGCCTTTGGTTCAAATAGCATAGCTGTCGCTTCATGTTTTATAATATTTGATGATTTACTTGAACGTTTAAGTCTAAAGCCTCCTCAACTGCAAAACCAGGATAATAGTACTTAAAGAGTTGTAAGGATTAAGTGAGAAAGCAATCATGTTAGCGTAAGTCCATGCAATGCGTACATACTTTAAAAATGGTGACTCTAGCTGTTTATTGGGATTTTTCTAATTCTGGATAGCAGGAAATCTTAGGCAAGCCTCTTTAAAATGTTTTAACAATAGCCTTACGAGGGGAGAGAGGCAGAAGTGCACTTTTTTAATGGACCTAACCAAAAGGAGTCACAGAAACTCAGGAAGCTGGAAAGAGCCACCTCTATAAATCAACACCCTGAAATGTGTCCTTTAGAAGAGGAGACATAAATGAGCAAGACATAAATGAATCAGAAGTTGTGTTTCTAAATGAGCTTAATTCCCAGGTTTTCCCTATGACCAGTTTTTAATTGGACCAAATTGGCAGATGATGGACTGGTTCAGTAGTGTTAAATCAGTCACACCATAAATAAAGTCGGCTTTGTTTGAGAGACTACACAATAGAAACCTGCAAGCAAGAAGACAGAGGGAAAGATGAGAGGCAAGATCAATATTGATGCCCTTCACTCTTTCCCATTTGTTGCTTACTTTGCCACAACCTTTTGCAAATTCAACCCTTGCCTTTTAACTAATGACCCATTCATTTCTCTGCCCACCTTTCTCCCCAGGTTCTCAAAATTAAGGAACAAAATGTCCATAATAAAACTGCAAGCACATTCTTGAAGAAAGATGTGTGAATACCTGTGTTATTGTAGGAGATAGTTGCCTACTGTGAGTTTTAGCTGTTAGGAAAGTCAGTCAGTGAGTCCACAGATACTGCTATCATTTAACCTATTGTGAGGATCAAAAGGTGAAATTCTAATCATTATTGACTCACGCTTAGGTTTTGTGTCAGGGAGAATATAACAAATGGAAATGCCAAAGAAGTTAGGATTTGTTTATTGAAATGGTAGTCGGAGTTTCTGGGTTCTAATGCACATGCTGCTTCTAGCTGTATGACCTTGGGCATATATTCAACTTCCTTGACCCTCAGTGGCCTCAACTATAATATGAAGGAGCTGGACTTAATTACTTATAAAGCTACATTGAGCAATAGAAAAAAAAACTTTAAGATTATTATATTGAAGAAAATACCCCATTTGAGCATGAATATATAGGCATTTGTAACCAATACTCTGAAAAAGAGTCTTCTTCTGAGTCTTGTTGATAACCATGACAGCAATTTGGATTTGTACCCTCATATAATCTATAGCGTTACTACTAAATATGTGGTTCTCAGACCAGCAGCACCAGCAACACCTAAGAATTTATCAGGACAGCAGAATCTCAGCCCTGCCCCATACCTGCGGAGTCAGAATCTTCATTATACCAAGATTTGTAGTGATTTGTACGCACACAAAGTTTGAGAAGCACTGGTCTTTAACACTATTTTGCCACATACTCACCCCCAGGGATAATTTCAGTGGGCAATCTCTGAAACGGAAGAGCCTAAAAAGCCTAGGGGATTTTTGGTAAATTACTGCTTTCAGAAACTCATGACAAAAGTAACTCCATTGGTAAACTATGAAACAAAATGATTAATTTAATTAGTTTTTTTTAAGTTGAAAGTTTGATTAAGTGAGAGTCATGAACTTTCTTGTGATTAAGGGCTCTCTTTAGCCCATACACCCAGGGGACTAGAAGTGAAATGTGCACTGATTGCATTTATGGGAGAAAAATACTGAAAACATAAACTCTGGTCATTTGGATAAATAATGTCAGATTCATGTACAAAGAACAGATAATACTCTATTTTTCAAGTAGTCTATTCTTAGATACTATTACACAATTAATTTAAAAATTGCCAGTACTCAATGTTGTGAGATATTTGAATATTTTAGAAAAATGTGACATTGTCAAAATGTTATATAGACTTGTACGAATAAATACATTTCTAAAACTTACAGCTGTTCTGTGAATACAATTAAATATCTTCCAGTATCTTCATTTCATAGGTTTAAGGTTATATTGTCTACATATATCATCAATGTGGCAGTAAATGTATAAATTAACTGACCCCATAGGAATCATCAATTAATTAGTTTCATAAATTGCCAAAAGATGGCATCTATCCACGCATCCCTATATGCAATAGTTTGAAATATTAAACCTGTTTGCAAAATTTTCTTTACTTTCTTTATAATTAAGCCCCGTATTCTCTTTCACTTCATGGCAAAAATATTTTTAAATATTTAATTAAGTGTTTTGAAATCCAATATAAAACGAAGAGAAATTAATGCCTTACAAGCAAGTAATTCATTAGTAATTAATGTATTATATAAAAGATAGTTTATATTTTGTTCTGCCTTGAACATATTGGTCCTCTTTCTTTATACTATCACAGAATAAGATGGCAACCTCCTCCTCCTCTCTCAGTAGTACCAAAGATAGGTTTTTTTTTAAGGTAGTTATCACAGAAGAGACTACAGTTAGCTTATATTTTATGACTGTTTCTACCACAGTTGAAAGTATTGAAATTTATTCTGACTGTGATGATTATGCTCTTTTACACTTTTGGGAGCCAAGTAAACTGTCTACGGTTTTAATTATGCTAAAAATATTGAAATGAAAATGGGAAAACAAATGTCACTTTTATCACTATGGATAAATTTCCTGTGATTTCACATGGTTCACCAGAACATTTATATTTCTCTTTTAAAATGCTAAATTTAGGGGAAATATCTAATTTTTTTAAAATATACAGTCATTCCCAGAACTGAAAATCTAAAAATTCATGCTAAATTGACTCTCATAGCAAATTGACCCTTGTAGTAAATTGACCTAGAAAAACAGATTTCATGGCCTGGTGAAAATGTACACCATTGTGGAAGAAAATTAGCTTATTGAGTACTGGAAACATTGATTGTCATTCTCCTTGCTTGCTAGCATTTTAAGTATGAGATAATCTGCCTGTGTTGCAGAAATGTTAAGAATTTATAGGCATAGTATATAGTATATACACCACAATATAAGTAGTATTAATATATATGATGTGTGTATATGGTTGGTATATGTATTTTTGTATATATATACAAAATGGTTTGTATGGTTGGTATATGTATTTTTTGTATATATTTATGGCAATATTTACTGCTTTAGATAGTTTTTTAACTTACAATTTTGCTACTGTTTATAAAACACTCAGTGTCCCTCTTCAAAATATAACCTATTATTTTACCTCACCCCACTCCACATGTCTTATTATTAGAATTTCATGTTATGTTGATGAAAGTATATAAAAGTAATGAAAATAAATTCACAAATTTTCAGAAATGTATAACCTCAAAATGATCTCTTCCTTCCTTTTTATATAGCTACATCAAGTAGCAATATGATCAACATCTTCACCTTCTCTCGTTTTAAAATATGCAATCACAACGTATAGAGTGCAAATGACCTAATGATCTTATGTAGTGTAAATTCTATTTATACAATGATTGAATGTAAATGATCTAAGATATGTGGCCATCATGTACTTTCTTAAACTCATCAAGAAGGATAATTCCTTTCTCTACATTTTCCTCAGGACAAGCACATATTAACCCTAATTCATAGATGATCATATGATCCTTGAGTTTAACAGCAGGTAATACGTAAAATGGAAGTTTTGCAAATAATCATCTATAAACGGAAACAACCTGAAGATCACTGTCTACTTTTGAACATAATCATACTGAAAATTGACTTCATTAAAAAAAACCAAGTAAACAACAACAAAAAAAACTTTCACAACAATGACTCTATAGCTATTCAAGCCAATTTTATTCCTGACATATAATTTTTTGCATGTGGAGTTTTTTTTTCCCTGCAACACTCCTATTGGAGATCATCATATTTGTCATTTCCTTACATTACCAAAGAGTCTGTCCAAATGTGACATTCTCAGTGAGGCATTGCTGATAACCCTTTTCCTCTTCACCCCTACCTCCTCTGGTCACTCTTCATGCTTCTAATTTTATTTTTCTTCGTATCATTTGTAAACTTGAACTTATATAATTTAAATCATTTATTTACATGTGTGTTTGTTTTTCTCCCCAACTAAAATGTAAGTGGCAAGAAGAATGCAGGGACTTTGGCTTGTTGATCAAATTTTTGGCAGCTAAAAATAAACATAGTAATCACTCAATATGTGTTTGCTAAAGGAATGGGTGTCTGGTTTATCCTGTAAAAATATAGATTCCTTTATCTTTCCTCTGTGTCTGTTTTAAGGGCAGTATTTCCCTATGTAAGTAATTCTAAGTATTCTTAAGTGGAATGGCTCGAACTAAAAGATTCTGCACTTAAAAAATTATTTCTATTTTCATTTACAAAAGAAGTCCATATGGGCTGTTACAAATATAAGCTGTGGAGAAATAAATAAAATTCCACTCCCCATTCATAATAATTGTTGACCTTTTTTTGGGGGTGGGGGTGGGGGGTGGGGACACTGTCTCTGTCCCCCAGGCCAGAGTCAATGGCGCAATCTCGGCTCACCGCAACCTCTGCCTCCCGGGGTCAAGTGACTCTCGTGCCTCAGCCTCCCTAGTAGCTGGGATTACAGGTGTGTGCCAGCACGCCTGGCTGAGTTTTGCATTTTTAGTAGATACAAGGTTTCACCATGTTGCCCAGGATGGATTGAAATTTTGACCTCTAGTGATCCACCTGCCTTGGCCTCCCAAAGTGCTGGGATTATAGGCATGAGCCACTGCGCCCAGCAGATTGTTCACCATTTCTTAACTGTTCCTGACTTTTTCAGCCACAAGCAGTTTGGAATAAATAAATAAGAAAACCTATAGTCATTTATTAAAGTGTGCATTTTTTAAGTGTCAGTGACTGTTTTTTAGTGTGAATCTTTGTGTTTCCTTAGAGCAGAAGATTCTTTGTATTTGCATTACCATTTAATACAATTTCTGTTAGGAATATTACGAGTACTTCTATGGAATGAGAAGGGCAGACTAAAAATACTGAAACCAACTAAGGACCCTGTTTCTTGACCCAGATTGACTAAATAACAGGAGCTATCTTGGTAATTCACATAGCTGAAATAAAGGAATTGTGAAGAACATTAGGATTTTACTGATTTTTTATAAACCCAAGCTAAATTAAACTACCTTAAAATCTCACTATTGTAAATAGCCAATTTTATACACATCTCTAAGGAACATCTGATTTGTACCTTGATACAATAAAAAGAAAAAATAAAAGCAATAAAGCATCTTGAAGTAGCAAACTAACAATTACTAAAAGAACAGAAGAGAATAGCAGGAAATGGATCTGGAAGGTAACATACAAGTTACAAAATAGTATGGCTTAAAAAATATGGCTTTTTCTCTAGAGCTGTGCTGTCCACCAGGTAGGTACTAAGCATGAATGGCTATTTAAATTTTGATTTAAAATAATTAAAATGCAATTAAATTTAAATTATGCACTTTTGTCATACTAGTTAAATTTTAAGCACCCAATAGCCACATGTGGCTAGTGACTGCTGTATTGAACAGCACAGATAAGAACATTTTCATTATCACAGAAAGTTCTACTGGATAGCACTGTCTACTATATCAAAATCTGTTTTTGTCTGAGTTCTCCAGAGAAACTGAGCTATTCAGAAGTCTGTATATGTGTGTGTGTGTATGTGGCATCTATACCATAATGATGTTTATTTATTTATTTGTATCATTATTATATTGAGACAGGGCCTTGCTCTGTCACCCAAGCTGGAGTGCAGTGTGGCTGGATCTTGACTCACTGCAGCCTTGACCTCCCTGGGCTCAGGTGATCTTTTCACCTCAGCCTCCCGAGTAGCTGGGACTACAAGCGTACGCCACCATGTCTGGTTTATTTTTGTGTTTTTTGCAGAGACAGGATTTTGCCGTGTTGCCCAGGCTGATCTCGAATTACTAGGCTCAAGAGATCTGCCTGTCTCAGCCTCCCAAAGTGCTGGGTTTATATGCATGAGCCATTGTGCCTGGATTGTTTTTTAATTTTTATTTTTTGTGAGTACATAGTAGGTGTATATATTTATGGAGTACATAAGATGTTTTGACACAGGCATGCAATGCATAATAATCACATCTTGCAGAATGAGGTATCCATCCCCTCAAGCATTTATCCATTGTGTTACAAACAATCCAACTATACTTTATAATAACTTATTTTAAAATCTACAATTAAATTATTAGTGACTAGAGTGACCCTATTATGTTATCTAATGGTAGGTCTTATTTATTCTAACTTTTTTTGTTTTTTTGAGATGGAGTCTCACTCTGTCGCCCAAGCTGGAGTGCAGTGGTGTCATCTGGGCTCACTGCAAGCTCCGCCTCCCGGGTTCCCGCCATTCTCCTGCCTCAGCCTCCTGAGTAGCTGGGACTACAGGCACCCGCCACAGCGCCAGGCTAATTTTTTGTATTTTTATTAGAGACGTGGTTTCACCGTGTTAGCCAGGATGGTCTGGATCTCCTGACCTCGTGATCCGCCCGCCTTGGCCTCCCAAAGTGCTAGGATTACAGGCGTGAGCCACCGCGCCCGGCCCTATTTTTTTTTTTACACCCGTTAACCATCCCCACCTTTCTCCAATTCCCCTATTACAATTCCCAGTCCCTGGTAAACATTCTTCCACTCTCTGCGACCATGAGTTCAATTGTTATGATCTTATATCCCACAAATAACTGATAACGTGATGTTTATCTTTCTATGCTTGGCTTATTTCACTTAATGTAATGATCTCCAGTTCCATCCATGTCGTTGCAAATAACAGGATCTCATTCTTTTTCACAGCTGAATAGTACTCCATTGTATATATGTACCACTTTTCCTTTATCCATTTCTTTATCCAAAATTTTGAAATTTTGGCGATTGTGAACAGTGCTGTAACAAACAAAGAAGTGCAGATATCTCTTAAATATACTGATTTCCTTTCTTTTGGGTATATACCCAGCAGTGACATTGTGGGATCTTATGATACCTCTATTTTTAGTTTGTTGAGGAACCTCCAAACTGTTCTCCATAGTGTTTGCACAAATTTGCATTTCCATCAACAGCATAGAATGGTTCCCTTTTCTCCCCATCCTCACCAGCATTTGCGATTACCTGCCTTTTGGACATAAGCTATTTTAATTCCTGTGAGTTGATATTCATTGTAGTTTTGATTTGCATTTCCCTGATAATCAATGATGTTGAGCACCTTTTCATATGCCTGTTTGCCATCTGTATGTTTTCTTTTGAGAAATGTGTATTGAAATATTTTGCCCATGGGTTTTTTTTTTTTTTATCAGATTATGATTTTCTTTTTCATGTAGAGTTGTTTGAGCTCTTTATACTTTCTGGTTATAAATCCCTCCCAATCTGTGGGTGGTTTTTTTATTTTATTGATTGTTTCCTTTGCTGTGCAGAAGCTTTTTAACTTGATGTGATCTCATTTGTCCATTTTTGCTTTGGTTTCCTGTGCTTTTGGGATATTACTCAAGAAATTATTGCCCAGACCAATGCAATGTTCTGGAGAGTCTTTTCTTTTCTTTTCTCTTTCTTTCTTTCTTTCTTTCTTCCTTTCCTTTCTTTCTTCCTTTCCTTTCTTTCTTTCTTTCTTTCTTTCTTTCTTTCTTTCTTTCTTTCTTTCCTTCCTTCCTTCTTTCTTTTCTCTTTCTTTCTTTCTTGTCTCTCTTTCTTTCTTCCTTTCCTCTCTTTCTTTCTTTCTTTCTTTCTTTCTTTCTTTCTTTCTTTCCTTCCTTCCTTCCTTCTTTCTTTCTTTCTTTCTTTCTTTCTTTCTTTCTTTCTTTCTTTCTTTCTTTCTTTCTTTTTCCTTCTCTTTTCTTTTCTTTTCTTTTTTGAGACTGAGTATCGCTCTGTCACCCAGGCTGGAGTGCAGTGACCCAGTCTCGGCTCACTGCAACCTCCGCCTGTTCTGGAGATTTTCTCCAATGTTTTCTTGTAGTGGTTTCATAATTTGAGGTCTTAGATTTGAGTCTATAATTCATTTTGATTTGGCTTTTGTATATGGTGAGAGATAAGTGTCTGGTTTCATTCTTCTGCATAAGGATATCATAATGATATTTATGATAAGGAATTATAAGGAGTTGGTTCACAGGGTTATGGAGGCTGAGAAGTCCCAAGATTTACTGTCAGAGAGCTGAAGACCCAGGAAAACTGATGATATAACTTTAGTCTGTGATGGTTTATTTTATATGTCAACCAGACTGTGCTTACAGATGTCCATATAGCTGATAAGATATGATTTCTGGATGTATCTGTGAGGGTGTTTCTGGAAGCGATTACCATTTGAATCAGTAGACTAAGTAAAGAAGATTTACCCTCACCGGTGTGAGTTGGCATCCTCCAATTTGTTGAGGGCTCTAGTAGAATAAAATAATGGAGAAAGGTGGAGAAAGAAAAAATTCCCTCTCCCTCTCCCTAAGCTGGGACACCCATTTTCTCTTGCCCTCACACATCAGAGCCCCTGGTTCTTATGCCTTTGAATTCTGGGACTGACACCAGGTTCTACTCCTCCTTCCCCCACATCACCACTGGTTCTCAGGTCTTCAGACTCACTGAATTAGACCACCAGCGTTCTTTGTTCTCTACTTTGCAGATGAAAGATGGCGGGACTTCTCAGCCTCCATATTTACATGAGCCAATTTCCAGAATAAAATTACTATTGGTTCTGTTTTTCTAGAGAATGCTAACTAATGCATTGTCTGCATCCAAGTCCAAAGGCAGGAGATGACTGATGCCCCAACTTGAAAATAGGCAGAGAGAGAGAGGATTCTTTCTTACTCAGCCTTATATTCTATTCAAACATTCAGTGGGTTGGATGAGGCCCAGATGCATTGGAGTAGGAAATCTGTTATACAGTCTATTGATTCAAATGTTAACCTCATTCATAAACATACTTACAAAGAAATATAACCAAATATTGGGTACCCTGTGGCCCAGTCATATTGACACACAAAATTAAACATCACCCCTTTCATCTGATATGCATCATATTAGCCTTCATCATCACTACCATGGTATTTTCATGACCCTAGCTCTAAATTTCAGACATTACAATTTGGAGGAAATAAGATTTACCTCTCAAGTATGTCAATGTGCTACCTAATGCAGTTTGTTTATTTTGCTATATATTTGCCTCTTTCTGGTAACACTGATATTAAAATCATCATCTTGGCATAGGAGTTGGGGAGAAGAGAACCTCCTTACTCCAAGTATTACCTTACAGTACAGTCTATTAATATAAACAAATACATATGTATATATTAGTCTAAACTCTTTGGTTGCAAGTGTCACAAATCCAAATCAAATTAGCTTAAGAAGAAGAAAAAAATCTATTAGTTCATTTAACTTTAAAGTCCAAATGAGGTGTAAAAAGTCCACTTTGATTCTAATGACTCAGTGATATAATTAGAATTGTGTTTCATTTCATCCAAATATGAACTCTAATTTCTTTTGGATTCATTGAGGACTAATCAAGCTCTCCACACAGACAAACAAAGAGGGTCAACAGATTTCTGGCTTACCCTATACTTATGTTTACAGGTTCCAGAGTGAAGAAAAGAGCTATTTCTTTATAACTCTGACAGGATCCTTGAATGACTTAGAAACAGTTCACTTTTTATTATGTGCTCATCCTTCAATGACTCACTTTGGTGGATTGGCCAGTGGCAGACAGTGAAGTATAGATATTTCATTAAATTATCTCGCCAGAAGGGAGGACAAAATTCTAAAAGAGAAGATGCTGCACAGACAAAATGTAACAAATGTCCCAAGACAGAATACAATAAAATTAGAAAATGTAATACAAGGGACATTTATAGTGATACAAATGTTATTTTGTTACCCATGATAGTTAGAAGGATGTAGCAAATGACAATTTTTAACACTTTACACAGGACACGTAGTGTCTCAAAAAATAGTTATGGAACGAATAAACATACTGCTGTAATAAAGTTCTCACTACTGGCAAAATGTAGAAGAGGATTATCCTCAGATTTTACTGAGCCAAAAGATTACTTTTCTGCTTTTCTATGATAGATCATAATACTGTGTATCTAAGTGTCATATCAGTTCTTGAAAATTAACAACAGTTAAATGCTGATTAATTTCCAGCTTTTCTCCCCTATAATTTTCACATTTTTTTTTTAAGAATTGCTTAGAGTCACCCCTGCGCTTATTGCATGCATACTTAGTTGTTTCCCCTGTGTGCCTCCTTGCACTTGTCCCTATTAAATTTCATACTGTTTTTGATGAATGACTACTCTAATTTATCAAGGTCATTTTAAATTCTAGTTTGGGCTTCTAAGATCAAAGCAACCCAGGCAAACTCCGTGTCACATTAGACGTGTTCTTAATTATTTTACCTAAATTTTTACAACAAACACATGTGCGTGCACACACACACACACACGTCATAAGAATTTCAATCTTAAATTACCTTACTGGTACTCCAGGAAAGAGTTTGTTATTTGTTAGGATTTGGATAAAGCCTTAGACTTGGATGAAATAGAGTTAGCTTGCTAGCTCTCTACATTTTATGAGATTGCTTTCAGAGAAAGTATTTAGTTCAGCAAGGCAGAATGACATATTTTATGCCTATAGAGTTTGATAAGCAAGAGTGAAGACCAGGATTCTGATACCTAGGATCAGATAAAATGAAATGCAAATTTGAAGTCCCAAAAAGGAATTTTGAGCAACATGAAAACAGAATTTGAGAGCACAATGCTTAGAGAAAGACCCCAAGTTCAGGACAAAAGCAGAAGAACTTGATGAAAAACCAAATACATTTTATGGATGGAATTCCTAGCTGACCCCTTGTTTAGAGAAAAGAAGAAAAGTTTTGGAATCAAACTCAGCTGGTAGAGTTTGAGATCCAGGAAATTATAGATCTATGCTTACATTTTTCTTGTGATTTTTTTATTTTGTTTTTTGTTTGAACTGAATGAATGTATACAGACTATTTTAACCAGCCACCTTCATAGCATAAAATGATTGAATATATTAAAAAAGGCATATAAAGATTTTAATGACTTGTCTAAGGACACAGAACATTTTAAATAGAAAGAGAATAATAGAACAAAATGTTTCCTGATGCACAGCCAAATGCTAAAGATGGTGTGTGTTCCCACAGCAACATTGTTGAAGTCCTTCTGGGTATTGTTTATTCACTGGATAGTTTTGGCAAAAAATGGTAAATTGTCTACCTCCAAAAATGTCTCTATCATATGACATCCACCTAGAAATTGAAAGATCATATTCAGATTACACCAATATATTTAGACAATTTTTAAAACTATTCAGTATAAAAATGTCTCATATATAATCAAGTTTATATGATCAACTGTCTCAGCAACCAGTATCATAGGAATGCAGTCATCCAGACTGCTACATGTTGATAATGAATTAGGCATTTGTTCTTCAGTAAATGATTATAGTGGAGGAGAAAGAGATATAACATTTATTGTGATTTTTTTTCTAGGTAAGATGCTTTCATAATACCATATATAATCATCAATCCAATAAAATATATCTATTATCGATATCAATTTATAAACAAATAACCTGAACTCAGAAAGTTTAAATAATTTTATCAAGTTGTAAAGGTAGTAAATGCCAGATCAACATTACTTTAAATCTTGAATATTGTGATTGCTTATATTCTCCTTTAGCAAACCTAAGCAAACAGAGATATAAAATTATCATTATTACAAAATATGCTTTATTCTTTTTACACTGAGGTGATAATATGGAAGTCCTATTGAAAAAGAAATCAGCACCATGGTCAGATCCACACCCTCTGATGTGCACTTCCTATCCCCGAAATGAGTCCTTGTGAAGGAAGAGAATGAGATAAGAAAGTTAGAATAGAAGTTGCTGGAACACTAAATCCTTTACCTCTGCATACATTAGAATATCTGAGATATCCACTCCACAAAGTGAAAACCAGCACTGTTTTTGAAAGCTTTCTTTGTTGTCCCTCAAGACTTCCCAAGGAGAATTTCCACAGGTTTTTCATGCAAAAAGTTTCTGTACTTTAAACATATTTACAGAAATGGCATTACCAAATATCATTTGAAAATGTCAATGCCTTTCC
This sequence comes from Homo sapiens, assembly GCF_000001405.40. Taxonomy (NCBI): domain Eukaryota; kingdom Metazoa; phylum Chordata; class Mammalia; order Primates; family Hominidae; genus Homo; species Homo sapiens. Next base: position 84,946,120 of record NC_000003.12, on the reverse strand, counting down.
TTAGGCACACAAAGCTTCTATATTTTTAATTTTCCCACTTGCCCTCCTATTATTTCTATAGTACATATTATCCTTCTAACTCATAAACTAGGTTCTATGCTTTCATTACTGGTCTACATTCCAAAAACCCTAGAGGGATTTTATCCTTACCACATATTCCATTTTGCATCACTTAGAAAACAAAAATTTTCACACTCTTTGGACTTTCCGAAACGTCATTTATTTAATAACACTACAGAGCCGTTATGTTTTAAAAATTATATGAACAATTCACAGATAACATGTTTAACCAAAAATTCTGATTTCATAATTCTAACCAGTGCTTCTTCCATAGAGGTAAATGGTCACTTTTCTTTTTCAACATAAATAAAAACAGTATCATAGTTAGTGTAACTTAGTATCTAAAATCCTGTTTATTTGTATCTATTTAAATGTGAAGTATTATTTTCCATGTCTGCATAATTCTGCAAAAGACTGATCACATTGTTCTCTAGATTCTGAGATACACTGATTTAAATGAGAGTGAATTTTGCTCGCAGCTACCATGTGTTTTGGAAGAAACAGCCTGCAGCCAAAGTTGCCTTTCTGCTGGCTTTACATATAGGAGAAACGGTAGAATTATAGCTGATTTTCAGCAACCTAAACTTAACAATGGTTTGTATTGTAAATGTTTATTTGTGTTTCTGTCTTTAAATGGGACTATTAAATAATACTTTTAAATACCACCTAGGATCTGAAAATTTTGATAAATAATACAAAGAATAAGGTTTGGGGGCCAAAATATCAGCTATTTACCTGACAAATAACAAGTTGAACCCTTTATGTTCGTCAAGGGGTTCTGCTAATTGAACCCTGAATCTTCATAGTTATAAACACCATCAAATGCACTTTTCTGTCACGGCATTAGCCCTTCTAAAGAGAGGGTTGAGGAGGGGGTGGGGAGAAGTAGTGCTCAACCTGTGTAATTCTGTGACACTAAAAACAAAACCCTTAACAAAAGAGAATGTTCTTTCCCTGTGAGCATTTCCCTCCCGAGATGAGGAAGAGAAGAAGGAACAAATTATGTCAAAAATATTATTCCCAAAATTACCAATCAGGCATCGCATCTCCCTCGAGCTAGAGAGAAGCCAAAAGTTTCATAGTAATTGAGGCTCCTTCACACAAAGAAAACTTTACAAGAAAAGTGTGCTCTTCCCAATATAGTTACCATGATATGCCACAGTTTTGGTTTGGTTTGGTTTTATTGTTGTTTTTCCTTTACTTAAGTGGGCTTCATTGTTAAATCTACAGTCAAGCAGAGTTTTGGCTATTTTCCTCTGGCAAGAAGGCTGACCATCACTCTGGACACGTCTGCTCCCACCTTCATGCTGCCATGTTCCCAATCCCAACCACTGCACGTTTTTGCTATCCTCCAGGAGTCACCGAAGGATACAAATGAATCAAAACATATTAATTGTACCAAATCCAAGTTTTCATTTTAGTAATGCTAAATAATTGTTCCCTATTCCATTTTCCATTACAAATGTAAATTCACTTAGTCCAATACAGCCCATTTCAGACCTACCTTGAAATTGAAGGCAACGTACTTTAAGAACAAAATATATAAAGACATTTCAATAAAATTCTAGGAACAAAGAGATGTCCCAAATTTGAATATAATCTCCTTCCTATTGTGACTTGGGAGAACTAAAGTCAGAAAGAATAAACCTCCTTGCAAATTAAAGTCCTAAAATGTTAAAACCCAGAGAAATTGAAGTTCATATTGAAATTATCTTTACTCTTGCAATATTTTATTTTGAATAAATTAATGTAAAATTTCCCCACCCTAACTACAAATTTTGTATATTCTCAAACAGTTGGTTCTCAGTGCCTGAGCCATGTTTCTTTAGTAACTACAACCAGAACTATCTGTCATGGGAATGGGTTCAGTTCTTTAGAGCCTCTTGAGTTGTATTAGCCATAGATGATATGGCTCACTTTTAGAGGGTCCAAAGAGTTAATCATACACATCATATTTTATGTACAAAACCAAAGCTACCCAAATGTAGATTAGAAGCAGTCCATCACATCTAGAACAGTTTATCCCTAGCCAAATTTTGTTCTCAGAAGTCTTTCTTCATGCTATAAGAGACCATAGTGGAGTTTCAGTGTTAAGATAGTAAAGGAGAGAGGATGGAGTAAAAATTGAATTTAGCCTCCCTGGACCAAAAGATCATTCATTCTTTGCCATGTCTCCAAAATCACCTGAATGAAAACTCATTCCTGTCCAACAATTAATCATGGAGTTGTGATTACCACATTAATTGCCATTGCTCTTTAAGTCCCATGTTTCTGGCACTCCAATAATGACTTGAGTACAGGTTCAATCTGGCAACGTAGAGTGCACATTCTCATACAAACAGGCGTTGTCATTCCTGGATCATTTCCACAAATTGCAATGTACTGCGTAAGGCCTAAGAAACCTTTTCCTAAAAAATGTTTACCCTCCAAAACTTTGGTCTCAGTTAAAAAGACATCCTCTGTAGCTGAAACTGCTGTGGATGTCTCTGGCCCCTAGTGGCCTAATAAGAACAAGGCATGAGTCGTAGTCTTTCCTTTGCTTTAATGTTACAACTTTTGAGTAGCATTTCATTGTTGCTACATTTTCTGCACCCCTGTGATAAGTGGTTGACAGTTTGTTTCTTGTTTTGCTTTCTTTTTTTTTAGTATTTTCTGATTATCTAATTTTATTTTTCTATTCTAGAAGACTCAGCTACATTCTTAAGTCTGTAACTCATAATCCGAAGTTAGAACCTGCACAGTGTAGCTAGCACAAATCTAACACAGCTGCAGTTTTAAACTAGTAGAGATTGTTTTGCCAACCAGTGCCTTAATAGCCTGTGAAGACACTCTTTTTCCTATAATTGTATATTTGCCTCAACTGTTCCTGCTTACTGAGGCCTTTGTGATCTGTCAGCATCTGCCCTGAATGCCAGCATATATATTCTAGATGTAGTTCAAGCTAAAGACTCAGCAGCCTCTATCCTAAAGTTCCCCACATTTGGCAAAGGCCTCCCATGATTTTTGCTGAGGCCCATGTGGCCCATGCCTTTGGTAGTGCTAATCCTCTCATGCAGCTGTCATTTGCCAAGGTAAACTATATGCCAAAGCCTCTTGCCTAGCACACAGAACATAAAAGCCAATAGCATCGCTGTAAATACACGCTAGTCCCAACATAAGCTGCTATACACAGTATAGATCAAAATACCCTGGAGCACAAAGCTCAAAGCCACTGGTCCTGGTCCCACCAAATTCTTTCCCTAATATATTTCCCCTCTGCAAATGGTCATTTTTGTTTTGTTTTGTTTTGGGTTCTCAACATTTCTTAATTCTGAACCCATTTTGGGGGTCTTTGAAAGACTCAGTATTTGTCACTGTTCCTTCTCAGCTGGGATTGTAAACAAATTGAAAACTAAGTTAAATAATAAGCATTTGGAAGCCAAAATACTAGCCTTATTACTGAGCTCAAGGGATCCACCTGCCTCGGCTTCCCAAAGTGCTGGGATTACAGGTATGAGCCACTGCACCCGGCCAACAATCTTATTTTAAAATAATGCATTGTAGTGAGCTGAGATCACAACACTGCACTCCAGCCTGAGTGACAGAGCGAGACTCCATCTAAAAATAAAATAAAATAAAATAAAATAAAATAAAATAAAATAAAATAAAATAAAATAAAATAAAATAGAATAATGCATTGTAAAGTGTTTTGGGTGCCACAAAACCCACACTACAAAGTATTGATGATATTTATGTCTGAGAGCTGGTTTTCTTGTAAACAGAATGTGGGACTGGTGTAGTTGGGTGGGGGTCAGTGGCCCAGAGCATGAGCTGAAACTTGTGATTCTGGGGAAATGACTACTGGAAATAGGGAATAAGCTGAGCAGAGTGGCTATAGGGGTTTTCATGGAGGACAAATTAATATGGCGAATTGCAAAATGCTAGTCATAGTTGGGTATTTTTTTCTTTTTTGTTCCCTCTCCCAGGATTTCTTTTTCTCTATTTTAAACCTTCTCCCAGCATCATAGTGGTTGGTTGCTATGAAGTAAATATTTCTGTGCCCCCCACCCCCAATTCATATATGAAATCCTAACCCTCAAGATTTTGGTATTAGGAAGCCATTTGGGATATAATTAGGTTATAAGGCTATATCTCTCATGAATGGGATTCACGTCCTTATAAATGAAACCCCAGAGAGCTCACTTGTCCCTTCCACCATGTGAGGACACAGTGAGAAGACACTGTCTAGAACCGGAAAGAGAGACCTCCCAGACGCCAAATCTACTGGTGATTTGACCTTGGATTTATCAGCCTCCAGAACTGTGAGAAATGCATTTCTGCGGTTTAAAAGCCACCCAGTTTATGGTACTTTTTTATAGCAACTCAATCAGCTTAAGACAGTGGTGGAAGAGAAAGGACAGTCAGGAGTGTCTTAATGTTAACAAGATGGACATTTCTCCCCCACGCCATATATCCTCCAATTTAAGAAAATTGATAGAGAGTGTGTAATATCTGCGTGGTAGTTTCAAAAAAAAAAAAAAAACAACAAAAAAGAAAATGTGGAAAGGCATTTTTTCATGTTTTTATCATCTTCTTCACTTGCTATTTTCTCCTAAATTAAACCACGTTGGGGAAGTATAATCAACAATATCTTCACTGTGGAGGGGATTTGAGGTAGAAGAACTTCTAGCAAACAGGGAGAATGTTTCGAGGGCTTTCTGGTGAGTAGTCCATTTTCTTGCCAGAAATGGGTATTTTACGGCAACAACAAACTATTTCCATTAAATTACATTATATGACATTAAATATTTTTCTTGGAAGATCTAATAAAGTTTAAAAAAGGACATAATATTCTTTCAAACTATTTTCAAAAGGTGTTTTTACAATTTTCTCTGTGTGTGTGTGTGTGTGTGTGTGTGTGTGTCTGTGTGTGTTTGTGTGTGACGGAGTCTTGCTCTGTCGCCCAGGCAGGAGTGCAGTGGCGTGATCTCGGCTCACTGCAACCTCTGCCTGCTGGGTTCAAGCAACTCTCCTGCCTCAGCCTCCGGAGTAACTGGGACTACAGGCTCCCGCCACCACACCCGGTTGATTTTTGTATTTTTAGTAAAGACGGGGTTTCACCATGCTGGCCAGGCTGGTCTCGAATTCCCGACCTCGAGTGATCCGCCTGCCTCAGCCTCCCAAATGCTGGGATTACAAGCGTGAGCCACCGTGCCCGGCCTAATTTTTTTTTCTAAAATAATTTTACAGCAGCCATTATAGCAATTATATCAAATGGCAATATTGCAACAGCTTAATCATTCGTGTGGCATTTCTAGGTGTTTTGCAGATTAGAACTTGATATACTAAAAAAAATAAGAGCAGAAAATAAATACTATGACTCAAATTCTGAGTTTTCTAAATATTTACTTACCATAATTTTGTATACCTTCTTGGTTAAAATGCATTTTAATGCACTCACAAAGGCATCTTTAATTATTAGCATTTTTCATGAGTAAAAATCCAAGTCTGTTTTCATGATCCGTCATACATCTGTGAGAAGAAATAGAAAAGTTTCAGGCCGGGCGCGGTGGCTCACGCCTGTAATCCCAGCACTTTGGGAGGCCGAGGCGGGTGGATCACCTGAGGTTGGGAGTTGGAGACCAGCCTGACCAACATGGAGAAACCCTCTGAAAGAAACAAAATTAGCCAGGCATCTCTACTGAAAAACTAAAATTAGCCAGGCGTGGTAGCTCACGCCTGTAATCCTAGCTACTCGGGAGGCTGAGGCAGAAGAATCACTTGAACCCGGAAGGCGGAGGTTGCAGTGAGCCGAGATCGCACCACTGCACTCCAGCCTGGGCGACAGAGACAGACTCCATCTCAAAAATAAATAAATAAATAAATAAATAAATAAATAAATAAATAAATAAGAAAGAAAGACAATTTTCAATTCCATCTTAAAGAGATTTTTGTTAGGTACAACTGGTATTTCACATTTTAAATTTGTGAAAAACTAAACAAAACCTAAACTAAGCTCAACAAAACCTAAAAACTATATGTTGACTTTTATTTTCAGCTTTGGAATCAAATGGATAGTTTAATATTGGTGACACACATGCCAGTCTTCCATAAAGGCAGAGCAAAGAAAGGAACATATAAAAGATACTAGATAAATATAGAAAAATATACGATAAATATTTATCAGATATTATGATAGAATGGCTTCCGTTTTGTTTTGCTTTGGGTTTACTTGCAAAAGCAGGAATACTCTCACTTGTATTTTGTTAATTAAAATATATATTGTTTATGTATACATGAAATTAAGCTTAATTATAATTATGCTTATCTTGAAAATATACATCAGAATTTGCGCAACACGTCCTTGTGTGCACATGTGCTCAAATACCTTCTTCCCTCTCTGCCCTGTGCACACGCTATACCCTGAATATGAGAAGCCACTTCGTTAAAATGATGATAATTTTAAATAATAATATGAACTGTTTTGCTGAATCTTGAGTTTATTTTTCAATGTTTTTTCTTTAACATTTCTAAATATGTGTTGACATTTATTTCTATATAGTTTCCATTAAGCTTTTACTTTTTTGTTATAAGTGCTGCATTAGAAAAAAAATGTGTTTCTTTAAATTGTTAATCTTTAATGATCATTTTGCTCATTTCAAAGTTGTAACATCTCAGAGCAAATAGCTTTTTAGATAGCTTTGCTGTTTTGCAATTTTTTAATCAGAAATTTCACTTTTATTTTCTCAATTTTTCTCTTTGAAATTAAAGAACTATATAATTATATCTTCATTTCTTTAAAATAGCACTTAAGACATTTGTAACAATTTTCAAATGCTTTCCGTGTTCTTACTCAGCATTTTGTTAGAGTTACCTAAACTTAAATTATTATTTTTCTTCCTGCTTCCATCAGCTGTGCTAAGAACCAATTCTGTGAGCTGTAATTGATGCATGTCTTTTCTCACATTCTTCTTCTTTTGCTTTGGAATTAGCCATAGTCTCTAACATAAATATTACTTCCTTTTGCTATGTTGCCTGTACTGCTGGCAGACTGCCTTCCACCTTGTTGGTAGCCTATTTTGGAATTTTATTGGCCCTAATGCATACATACTTTTGAAAAGTTTTAAGTGTTTTCTCTCCACACACCGCCCTGATATTATGTAGTATATGTTTCTCTTGTTTCATCATTAGCTTCTGAATGTTATTCCTTTAATTATCATTTTACTCCTCTTTTGCAACTGGTCCCTCTTACTATGCTGCTTTGAGAAACTGTCATTGTTAACATCACATGCCTGATTTCTTCCTAGGTCTCTTTAGAAAACCTTGAGAATCTCAAATCAATTTTTATTTCATTAATCAATAGATTCTAGTTCAAATATTCTTTACTGAGAGCTTTCTTGAGAGGCAACATGTTTAGGTGATAGAGAAGACAAGACTGCATACAAAATAGCTTCCACTGAAAGATGTTGCATTTTGAGTGAGTTAATTTGATTAAAGTAGAGAATGAGAGTTGGAAAACTAAAATACCTCAATGTCCAGAATTTTACATGTATTATCTGAAAACCAACTTTTATTTATTTTATTTTACTTTTTTATTATTTTATTTTTTGAGACAGGATATTGCTCTGTTGCCCAGGCTGAGTGCAGTGATATCGTTATAGCCCACTGCAGCCTCAAACTCCTAGCTTCAAAGGATTCTTCCACCTCAGCCTCCCAAGTAGCTGGGAGTACAGGTGCATGTCACCATGTGGGGATAATTTTTTTAAGTTTTTTGTAAAAACAGGGTCCAGGCTGGTCTTCTGCCCTCAAGGAATCCTGCCCTCAAGGAATCCTCCTGCCTCTGCTTCCAAAAGTGCAGGGTTTACAGATGTGAGCCATTGCACCTGGCCCCAAAAACTTTTATATTTGGTAAATTGTTCTTTAAAAACAAAACAAAATTCATGTTAATTTTAAAAGACTACAGAACTTAAATATATTTCTTCATTTTTTTGTCCAAAATTACTTGACCATAGACAAACGGTTTTGTGTCTGGAATCTCAATTCTATTCCAAAAATCTACAAGTCGATTCTTATGGTATGACCATACTTTTTTGAATACTATAGCTTATAAATAATTTTTAGAGTCAGATAATGTGAATGTTTCAATTTTATTTTATCTTATTTTTGAAGATTGTTATCTTAATCTGTTTTTGTTGCTATAACAAAATACCTTAGACTGGGTAAATTATAAAGAAAATTTTTTTCTTACAGTTATGGAGGCTGAGAAGTCCAAGTTCTACGGGCCACATCTGGCCAGAGCCTTATTGCTTGTAGGAACTACAAGGCAGTGCAAGGCATCACATGAAAATAGAACTCAGCACCCTACCTCAGATCTATCCACTTTTATAAAGCCCCTAATGACCGACCCTCATGACCTCCCCTAGTCATGATTACCTCCCAAAGGTTCCACTTCTCAAATACCACAACTGGATTTTCCACACTCTTAATACTGTTACAATGGGGATTAAGTTTCCACATGACTGTTGGAAGGGATATACATTCAAATGTTAGCATTCCATGCCTGGCCTCCCAAACTCAAATCCTTCTCTAATACAAATACATTCATTCTGTCCACACAGCCACAAGTCATTAAGTCATTTCAGCACCAACTCAAAAATTCAAAGTCCAAACTCTCATTTGCTAGTCTATGAAAACAAGTTACCTGCTTCCAAAATGCAATGGTGGGACAGGCATGGGTACACGTTTCCATTCCAAAAAGGAAAAATAGGAACTAATAGAGGAGTAAGAGCTCCTAAGTAAGTCTAAAACCCAACAGGATGGAGAAGATTAAATCTCAAGGATCCAGAATATTCTTCTTTGACTCCATGTTCTGCTCCTTGGAGATACTGGTTCAAGGGTTAGATGCCAAAAGCCTTAGGCAGTCCAAGCTCTGTGACTTGACTTTGCTGGGCTTAGTCCAGCAAGCTCTTATAAGTTAGCTAGTAGCTGCTTGTAGCTGTTGCATGCTAGTAGCTGTACAGTTCTAGATTCTCAGTGGCAGTCTTGCTCCCATGGCTCTGCTAGGCATTGCCTTGGTTGTGACTCTCTGCAGCAGCTCTGAACTCATATTTCTTCTCTGCATTGCTCTAGTGGGGCTCTGATCCTGCAACAAGTCCCTTCCTGGGCTCCACCCTGGTTGATACATCCTTTGAAATCTTTGCCATGTATTCTTAGCTCTCTCATTCTGCACACTTGCAGATTTCGTACCATGTGGACACCACCAAGTCTTACTGCTTGAGCTCTCTGGAACAGTGGCATAAGCTGCATCTGGGTCCAGTTAAGCTATGATGTAGTGTTTCCAAAGTTTACTTGCTTGCACCTTTTGGAGAGGCAGGTTGAGCCATAAGTGGGGCAACTGGAATCACAGCTGGAATGACTGAGTAGCACACCACTGGCGTGCAGAGAATAGTCATGAGGGAGTCCTGGGCAGTGAGACTCTGGAAGGCACTCTGGGACCATCCTGCAAAATCGTTCTTCCCTGATAGGCCTCTGAGACTGTGATGGAAAGGGGCAGCTTTGAAAATCTCTGAAATGCCTTTGGAGTCCTTGCGAATAACCTCTGGCTGCCTTCTAGCCCTATCAATCTCTTTAGCAAACAGTCACTTGGTCACATGCTTGGATTCCTCTGCTGAAAATGCTCTTTCATTCTCTACTACATAGCCAGGCTGAGAGTTTTCCAAATCTGTTTTGCTTTCCTTTTTATTATAAATTCTAACTAATTATTCCTGTCTTCCCAAATCTCAGTAGAAGTAGATGCAAGTATCCATGCAGATCCTTCTATATTTTGCTTATATTTTTTTCCTGCCAGAATTCCTAATTAATCATTTTTAAGCTCCTCATTCCATAAAGCGCTAGGATGTGAATCCAGTGCAGCCAAGTTCTTTGCAATTGTATAACAAGAATGACTTTTACTTCATTTCCAAATAATACACTCCTCATTTTCATCTGAGACATCATTAGAATGGCCTTTATTATTCACATTTTGGTTTCAGACATTTAACCAAACTCTAAGGAGTCCAAATTTTCCCTAATCTTCTTATCTTTTGTCTTTCCCAGAATCTAGGCTTTATCTAGCCTGCTCCTTCAAACTTTTTAAACTTCTGCCCGTTACTCAGTTCCAAAGCTACTTTCACATTTTAACTTATCTATACAGCAACAATCGCACTTCTTGGTACCAGTTTTCTGTGTTAATCTATTTTATGTTGCTATAACAGAATACTTAAGACTGGGTAACTTATAAATACAGGTATGGATATATGTATGTAAGTTTGACAGCTAGTTTTTTATGTTGAGAGTTCTATTATTTTGTTCAACTTTTTCTTAGTTTTTCTATTCATTATGAACAGTAGGTTACTGATATCTCTGAATATTTTTATTGAATTATCTGTTTTTTCCTTAATTTTTGTCATTATTTATTTCATACATTTTGATGATTTGTTACTAGGAGTATATATGTTTATAATTACTATATTACTGATAAATTAACGTTATATCATCAAAAAATGTCCAGGCCAGCATGGTGGCTCATGCCTGTAATCCCCGCACTTTGGGAGGTCAAGGCAGGAAGATTGCTTGAGTCCAAGAGTTCAAGATCAGCCTGGGCAACATGGCAAGATCCCATCTCTACAAGAAATAAAAAAAAAAAAAATAGCTGGGCCTGGTGGCACTCGTAGTCCCAGCTACTGAGGAGCCTGAGGTTCGAGGATTGCTTAAGCCCAGGAGGTTGAGGCTGTGGTGAGCCGTGTTCATGCCATTGCACTCCTGCCTGGGAACAAAATAAAACCAAAAATGTCTACCTTGATTTCAAGTAACATTTTCAGTTTTAAGGTCCATTTTTTTCTGCTATTAATATATCTACTCCAACTTTTATGTGTTTATATGTGTTCACACTTTTTATGTTTCCATGATATAGCTTTTCCTACCCATTTAACTTTCAAACTATTTGTGTCTTTGAATTTAAAGTGTGCCTCTTATAGACAGCATATATTGGATCATGTTTTTAAATCCAGTCTGGCAATCTCTGCCTTTACATTGTATTGTTTAATTCACTAACTTTTAATGTTATTATTGAAAGAGTTGAATTAGGTTTGCCATTTACTTTTTGTTCTCTATATATTTTGAGATTTTTTTGTTTTCAATTATTTGTTTACTGCTTTTAAATTAAGCATTTTAAAGTAGAATTTTAATATATTTAATAATGTTTCCACTAAGATTTCAAGTATTTTTTGACTTATTTCCTTAGAAGTTGCTGTAGAGTTTACCATATATGCCTTAGTTGATTAGAATCAGGTCCACATTTATACAAACTTAATTCCCATGAGATACAGGAATGTTACTATTTTATAGCTCTGTTCTTTCTCCTACTGTTGTGGTATTATTATCATACACATTACATCTATACATGTTTTAAACACAATAACATATCATTGTAATTGTTAATTTATATCATTCAACTACTTTAAAAGGAGTGGATTAGTTAGTATCTGTTGCCATTTTCTTACCCTAATAGAACTTTGCTTCTACCTACCTTCTTTATGTGTTGTTGTTGAATACATTATATTTCTATAAGTTATAGGCCAAACAATTCAGTATATACATATTGTTTATTGTAGTTTCTTTTAAAACCATTAAGAGAAAAAAGTGTAAAAAATATCTCATTAATTTTTACAATACTATGCAAAATTACCTTATAGGTGTTCTTTGATTTGGGGTGTAGATTTGAACTACCAACTGAGGTCATTTTCTTTCAGTCTGAAAAACTTCCTTTAGAATTTCTGGGAGCCTAGTATGCTAGGAAAACATTCTCTGTTTCTGTCTTTATTTCATCTTCACATTTGAAATATAGTTTTGTTGGGTATAAAATTCTTAGTTTAGAAATTTTTATTTGAGTATTTTGAATTTGTGCTTTTGGCTTCAATTCTTTCTACTGAAAAATTAGCAGTTAGTTTTACTTTGAGTACTTTATAGAAAACGAGTAATTTTTCCCTTGCAACTTTCAATATTTTCTGTTTTCGGCTTTCAGAATTTTTACTCTTATGTGTCTGTTTGTAGGGTCTTTTTTTTGTTTGTTCCTTCTACTGGTATTTGCTGAGCTTTCTGTTTGTGTAGGCTACTGTTTTTAATACATTTCAGAAATAACTGAAGTGAAAAATACACTAATGAGGCTAAACAGTAGATTTTATGAACTGGGCAAAGAAAGAATTACCAAACTTGAAGATCTATTGATACAGATATTGCCAACAAAAGAGAGCAAAAAGAATGGTTGAAAATAAAGCAAGCTCAGAGAGATGTGGAACACCCTTAAGCACACAATGTTATACACAATGCAAGTATCAGAAGGAGAGGAGAGAAAGAGATAAAGGACTTGAAAAAAGATTGAAAGAAATTTTGACTAAATACTTGAATTATAGCCTAATCTTGTGAATTCCCACAACCACCCTGGGATAATGGAAGTTTTGACAAGAATCCTTTTGACTGGCTTTTTTACTGGACACATCCAGTTACTAAGCTTTTCTGATTTCCAGCTTATTGCTCTAATTTTTAAAACAATACTTTGGGGTATTAACTGCTTAAAGGCTAATCCAATTAAATTTGAGTTTCTTTGAAGGCATAGTCCTCATGAACAGTGTTTGAAATTTGAACCTAGGAGGGTTCTTCCAAATTTTTCTTTTCCAGGTGTCTCTTGTAAACAAGACGGCATACTGTTTAACTTGCATCTCCAATCAGATTGCCAACCCCTCCAAATTGTCTTTCACCATAACCTGCACTCTTTTTGAAAGTGCCCTTAGGCTTGAACTTCTCCATGTTTTGTTACAAATAATTCTTTTAGGAGATTAGGAGCTATCAGTTTTATAGCCTGCTTTCCCCACCAAGGCAAAGTCACTGAGCAATCACTCTGGAGCTGGGGACAGAAAGAATGACATATTTCTCTTTGAATGGCACTGTTATTGTATGAGCTAAGCTCTGGGTTGAGGAGGCAGTAGCTTCAAGTCTTCTCAGCTTCTCAGGTCTTCAGGTAATCTGTGTGGAACCTTTGTTTTACATGCTTGAGCAAGGGCAACTGATGCCATAGCATTCTCAGAGGTGCTGTCTATCCCACCAATGGGGACTGAAAATAAAAAGAGACTTCCCCACTATTCGGCTATACTTGCCCAGAACTTAACCTCAGCAGTGGGTAGGAGGGAAAAATGATAACATGCTGACATATTGATCATGCAGGATGATAGCACTCTTACAGCAAAATGGGGAAAGAGGAAGCTCTATATTTTTGTCTACACCACTCTGGAGTAGTTTCCACCTCATTGAGCTAGGAGGTATGAGAAAGGGAGCTGTATTGGTTAAAATACCACCAATTCTTGTTCTTATCAATTCAAATACCTTTTTTTCTTGTTATGGAGGTGCTCTTAGAGTCATCCCCATAGATTTTATGTGTTGTCATTCTTTTAATAGTCTTCACAAATTTTGCTGGGGATTGGGAGTGGTGGGGAGGGCAGGAGCTTCCTCTTGCTGTCATACCAGACTCCACTGTCAAATCCATGTTATTTTAACCATACATATTTATAAACGTTTTTGCAACTGTCATGTACACTGGCCTATTTTGTCTAATGCAAACGTTAGTGCTAGAAGTAGGATGCCTCTTTTAAAAATTTTAATAATATATTTGGTTTTGTTTTCCTGACTGGGCAGTAAGTGATGAGGAAAGCAATAACCAAAGATTAATAAACTGCTATCTATGTTATCTGGTATTAGAATATTCACTAAAACTGTTAACCTAGACAAGTATGGAAGCAGATCATATGCCTAATAAGCTTATGGCTTTACGGGAATAAATTGAAACCAAAACCTTAAGGTATGTTGGTTGTTATCATGGAATTTGCAAAGTAATACAAGAGAGATATGAATTTCAAATTAACTACCAGTTTGAAAGGAGAAATAAAAGTGGTTAGAAAGATTTCAGAAATCTAAGGCCTTCCAATGTAAAGCCATTTGCTTTTGAAGTGAAAATAATGAGAGACGGACTTTACTTTGAACATCCAACATTTGGTAAAAATGTAGTTTGATAAATTTATTTTAGGGAAAAGATAAAATTAAGAACTTTCACCAGAGAAACCTCTCATCTAATACAGCATCCTTGTATATTCATCAAATTAAAATGTCCCCTACTCACTATAAATGTATAGCCTCAAAGTAACCACAATTATATTTAGAGAATAAGGCATTTGGATAAAAACACAAAAATAAAAATAAATATTTGGGAGAATCTCTGTAAAAATGTGACTATAGTTACTAGAACAAATAGAAATCCAATAAAGGTTCATTACCAAGACCATTGTCATGTAACGTTTTTCTTATGTTTTCTTCTAGGAGTGTTAATTTAAGTTTCTAATCCCATTAAAAATTGGACAAATGATTTAAATAGATATTTCTCCAAAGAAGACATACAGATGACCAACAGATATATAAAAAGATGCTTACCTTCACGAATCCTCAAGGAAATGCAAATTAAAATCACAATAAGATAGGCAATGAGCCTCTAGAATCTGTATGTAGAAATCCTTACTCCTAAGGTGAAGCCGTTACCAGGTGGGGCCTTTGGGTGGTGATTAAGTCATGGGGCAGAGACCTCATAAGTAGGATTATTCCCTTATAAAAGATGTTCAGGGGAGACCCCTCATCCCTTTTACAATCTGAGATTTAGAGTGAGCCTGTTTCTGAGAAAGCAGACCTTGGACAGACACTGAATCTGTTGGCCCCTTGATCTTGAACTTCCCAGTCTTCAGGCCTGTGAGAAATAAAAGACTGCTGTTTAAATGCTGTCCAGTCTATAGTATTTTGTTATAGTGGCCAGACTAAAACAGAGATACCACTACACATCTGTTAGAATGGTTATCATCAAAAAAATAAAAGACAACAAGTATTGGCAGAATGTGAAGAAACTGGAACCCTTGTGCATTGTTGGTGGGAATATAAAATGGTACAGTTGCTATGAAAAACAATGTAGAGTCTCCTCACAAAATTAAAAATGGAACTCACATATGATCCAGTAATTTCACTTCTGGGTATACATCCAAAAGATTTACGTCTTTGAAATCTGGATCTCTCATTGGAGCATAAGTCAATGAGATATAGAATCAATTGAAGTGTCAATTTATAAATGAACAGACAAATAAAATGTGGTATATATATGTATATAAATGTGGTATATATGTGTGTAAATATATATATACACACACATACATACATATACATGAAATGCTATTTGAGCCTCTAAAAAAAGTAAATTCTGTTGTATTCAACAATATGGATGAACCTGGAGGACATTATGCTAAGTGAAATGAACCAGTTGCACAGGACAAATACTGCATGATTCTACTTATGTGAAGTACCTAAAATAGTCAGCCTGATAAAGGCAGAGAGTAGAATGGTGGTTGTCACAGGCTGAGCAGAGGAAGAAATGGGGAGTTACTGTTTAATGGGTTTAAAATTTCCGTTGCATAAGATGACTAGGTTCTAGAGATCTGCAGTAGGACATTATGCCTGTAGTAAGCAATAATGTATTATGCACTTAAAAATGTGTGAAGAGAGTAGATCTCATGTTGAATGTTCTCACCTCAATAAAAAACACAAAATGAACTAAAAAATAAAATAAATAAATCCAGTAAAGTAGGAATATACTATTTTTTGAGAAGTTCATATTGACAATGAAAGCTTAATTAAATCTACTCTAAAAGTATGTGACTGTTTCAAACTTAAAACAGCAGTTGATTTGTAATACTTCAAAGGCTGTACACAGGCTGACATATCTCTGTAGCCCACAAAGAGGGTCGTATTCATCAATATCCCCTTCAGATGTGGCCGGTAAGATTAATAAAATAGGGAGAACTTTCCACAGGGAGGAGCCAGGGACCAACAAAAATAGATTTAGAGGCAGGGCCTCTGAAGCGGCCAAATCAGGGCTTAAGCTATGGATAACTGGGGAAGAGTTCTTTCCTGGTAGACCATGCCATCCTGTATAACCTGGTAACCACATTGGTTCAAATACCACAGATGCCAGCTCTTCTTACTGATTAAAGTTTTTTTTTTCATTAGCTGTATGTCCTTCAAACCATTCCACAGACTCTAAATTATTGAGTTTCGTTTGTTTGTTATATATAGATTCCCCAATTTTGCTGGGAAGTTGGTAGAGCTCCCTTGAAGATAGAGGAACTTCACTTTGTCTTCCTAACAGAAATTTCCGAATGTCAGTGGACCAGTACCTGATGTATTTCTCCATTTTGCGTTTCTGAATGTGGTTATCCCGCCTGTGATCTGCCACTGTGTATTTTCTGTGTATGATAGTGGAGAGGTGGTAGGCTTATGCTTTATCATTTTAGTTCATGATGCACTGGACCCAAAGGAGCCACATTTAGACATATGAAAAAATTACATCACCTGATGTTTTGTAATGTTCTAAATATTCCTCACTTGCTCACTCTAGATTGACTCGCCTCCCTTCTCCACTCTGAGGAGGTGCCATAAAATCACAGAGATTCTCTGCTTGGGCCTGCAGTTTACCCAGCATTCCTTTGAAATCTAGGTGGGGACAGCCATCCTCCCACAGCTTTTCAGGGCACACTGACCAGCCCTATCAGAGCCACTTCCGGGACAGCTGAGGAGCACTGAGACTGAGGCAGGCAACAGAGCCTGAGACTTGCTTTTAATAAATTGATAAACAGATATCATTTGCTTAACTATGTAAGCTGAAAGCAGTTTAAGAAAATCCACAATTAACAGTTGCCCGGGAATGCCGTGAGGAGGCAGGCACTTTCACTTACTGCTTGTAGGAGTACAAATAATTAGGCAACTTGGCAATAGATATCAAATGTATTAAAATTATGAAAGGTATGAATACTTCTCCAACATTTGGCTATTATAAACAATAATTTGTTGTATACAATAGCAGCTATTTTCATTCCAATATTTTAGGCAAAATATTACTCATTATCCTATTAATTTTTACCATCTTTATAAGCAGTAGTTATAATTTTTCATGTATTTATGGCTACATGTGTTATTATTTTGTGAAATGCTTATCTACCTTGATTTCACAGCTGCCTGTGTTTCCATTTAATGGGCAAAACTATTAATAACAAGTAAACTGTTTTTAACCTAAGTTTCTCCCCCATTTGCTCTGGAAACAAGACGAGAAAAGAGCTATCCATGTGCTTCTCCAAAATAATCTTTTGTTCAGCAACTATTAATGAGCACCCCCGTATATTAGGTACAGTGTTAGGCACTAGGGTAAAGTAATGAACTATAAATAAAACACGCAAACAAAGAAAAAAAATTCAGCCTTTACAGAACAGTTAATATTCTAGTTTATTTTAAACTACCAAACAGCTTATAGAATGATGTGGTTTAACTCTGTGTCCCCACCCAAATCTCATGTTGAATTGTAATTCCCAATGTTGGGGGAGGGACTTGGTGGGAGGTGATTGAATCATGAGGGCGGATTTTCCCCATGTTGTTCTCGTGATAGTGACTGAGTTCTCACAGGATCTAATGGTTTAAAAGTGTGTGGCACCTCCCCGCTCGTCTCCCCCTCTCTCTCCCCTGCCACCATGTGAAGAAGATGCTTGCTCCCCCTTCACCTTCTGCCATAATTGTAAGTTTCCAAAGGCCTCCCAGTCCTGCTTCCTGTTAATCGTGCAGAACCGTGAGTCAATTAAACCTCTTTTCTTCATAAATTACCCGGTGTCAGGTAGTTCTTTATAGCAGTGTGAAAACAGAATAATACTTAGACTGTGCAATCATATATGTTAAGTGTTAAAAATAGAAATACACCTCCACACTTTCCTGTCCCTCACTTTCTGTTTTAATAATTGTATAAACGAACTGTACTCCCTGCCTCTTCCCAACCAAACTTTTCTTCTTTTTGATAATGATAAAGCAATTATTAAACAATTAATTCCAGAGAGACTATGTTAAGGTAAAATATTTTTAATTCCTCAAACTCATCATTGGTTTATAGCCTACAGTATTCACTTATATCTAATAATTTTGCATCAGATACTGCATTTACCTGGGCATGCATTTAACTGTAACTGCAACAAATAAAACTTGCCCTGCAAGTCTTGGAAAATGAATGCAATGTTGAACTGTTTCCTACTATTCATCAAAGCCCAGGCCAAATTATATTTATGGAGCTGTTTCTCCCTCCTCTTCTTTTCTTTTATCTTCCTTCTTCTCTATCCTCCTTTTTCTTGACTAATGTGATATACTACAACAGATTTTGTATATATTTGTGCTTAAGTGTGTATGTGTGGAGATATATATCTATATTGTTTTGTGTAGTATTTTTTTCTTTGATTTTATGTGGGTCTTCTGGTATTTTGAAAAGTGCTTTTTAGTGCTTATCTTTGTAAAAAAACTTTAGTATTATCTTTCTTGTGTTTGTATGACATCTGTATACTTTTGTCAGTGAATTAGTCATTTTAAAAGATGCCCTTTGATTTCAAGCTATTGCCTATGGGGCAATAAAGATTATTTCAATATCCAAATTTATTTCTCTTTTTATTATTTTCACTTAATTCCTTTTAACATTGTAAGATACATAACATTTATGCCCCATCCTATTATTCTTATTCCTACCTTGATTTTTATATTGGTTCTTCCATTATACAATGAGAAATTCTCACTGTAGTGTTTTTCCCAGGGATTTTCCAGTTAGTCCATAGTTTACTGTAGTTTTTCTTCAAAAAGACTTCATATGTAAAATGTATGTTGCTATTCCATATTGAATACTGTTTTGTCGGTATTCTTTATACTTGGAAGACAAATTTGTTGAGTATAAGATCCTTGTGTCACTTTTCCCTCCCATAAGTCCTTTTGTAGATGTTGATCTATTGTCTTCCTGAAATGAACATTGCAGCCAGACTGATTATTTGGCCTTTCATTTTTAATCTGACTATCTGAATTTCTTTCCTTTATAAGTGATGTTATCTTTTTCACCTAGAAACCAAACAGATTGTTTCCTTATAAATCCAATAGCTCTACAAGAATATGTTTTAGTGCATTTCTGTTCCCTTGCTTTGATTTTCTCCTTCAAAACTCAACTTTACATAAACTGTGTCTTGGCTCCTGTATTTTCTGTCACTAACTGTTCACTGATTATTTTAATTTGGTTTTCTTAACTTTTTTTTTCTTATTTCAGTACTCTATGTGCCTTACTGTACAGTTTCCCTTCTTCTTATTGATCCTTCTATTAATTGGCCATTTTCCCCTGAGTTTCTATTGCTTTTCATAAAAAGTTGTGATTTAATCGTTAGTATTTTTGTATTAATGTTGGAATATTTGGCTAAAATCTTTATGTGCTTCTAGGTCTAGGTTTTCTTGTATGTGTTATTTTTCTAGTGTGGAATTTGGTTGCTGCCCCTCCCCCAACACATTTTCTTGCATTAATATTATACGGATGCTTTGACTATTTCTCTCTCAGCGGATTTTGATTTCAGTGGTAGTCTCTGACAAAAAATTAGCAGGAGATAACAATGGCCATTATGTAATTTTTAAGTATTGCTTCTTAATATTACTTACCTAATTTCTTTTTAGATGTGTATCATTTTTATTGTTATTAATTATTAATATATAATGCTTTTTTTGCTATTGATGATTGATGGTAAAGGTCATTTTATAAACAAATCAGCAACTATTTTGTTATATGCCTAGTAATATTTTTAATAGGTATAGTAATTTTTACAGGTAGTATTACTTTCTATGTCTTAAAGTCCTTAGTCACTGAAATTATAATCTTTTATCATTGATGATTCAGATAACATAAGCCTCTTTAAACATTGCAAACAGTATGGAGTTTAACACAGGAAATTAAATGCTTACAAATTCATTGAAAGGAGTGATGAGGAAAGGTCAAGGAAAGCCACCAATATATCTCAGGTTTGTTGCTAGCTTTTGGGGAATCATAAAGTTGCTATTTTCAACCCAGCTCAAAAAGTTCAGGAAATTATTGCTGATGGTTACTGCAGTGCTGGCTGCAGCACCAAAGTGAGTGATTCTTAGGGCAATAGACAATGGACACTAAAAAGTCTCACATCTATCCCATCTATGTGTCTGCCTGTTGTTGCAAGAGGAAGAATGATAACTGTGTTTCACTTCTGACTTCCAAATCCAACAAGAATCTCTTTCATTATTATAATCTAATAGAAGTTTTTCCACATGCATTCTGGGAAACTTATTTCCCAGCCATCGGTTTCTAAGTTAAGAATAGAGCATAGAAGGGGGTGAAAATGCTTCTAAGCACCAATAACCAATCTGACACAGTCCCCCCTTTTGGTTCCTCCATATCAATAGATAACCTTCTATTCATGCTTATGTGCAAAACAACAAATGACAGCAACATCATATGACTACTTAACATGATGTGACTAACAACAATGTCTTTCCTCTCTTCACCAAATTCTCATCAGTCACTGCATACAGAACTACATAGTGTTTATTCCTTTTCTAATTCAATCACAAGTCTACTTCTATATCTGGTAACAAAAGATTGAATGATAAAATTCACTTCTACCAAATCACTTTATATGTAGTTATGTGGAAAAAAGAAAGGCAATTGGTAAGATGCAAAACAATGAAGAAAATATGCATATTACTATAGTTCTTACTTAGCAAATGGCATTTATGTATTTTAAAATGTGCAGTGCATTATTGTTTATTATAGTTACCATTCTGTTTAATTGATCACTAAAGCTTATTCTTGATGTCTAATTGAAATTTTTTTCATATATCCCCTTTCCCCATCTAAGCTCCTCTCTCAGCCTCTGCTAACTGCCATTCTACTCTCTACTCCTATGAGTTCATTTTTTTTTTTTTTTTTAGATTCCACATATAAGTGAAATCATGTAGTAATTGTCTTTTTGTTCCCGGCTTATTTCACTTAGTGTAATGTCCTCCAGATTCATCAAGTTGCAAATGACAGAATTTCCTTCTTTAAAGCTGAACATTATATATATATATATATATATATATATATCACCTTAAAAATCCATCCATATGATGATGGACACTTAGGTTGATTCCTTAGCTTAGCTATTGTGAATAATGTAATGAACATGGTAGTGCATATATCTTCTTAGCATATGGATGTTAGTCCCTTTGGATATATACCCAGAAATAAGATTGCAGGTTCATATGGTAATAATATTTTTAGTTTTCTTAGAATACTTCATATTGTTTTCCATAATAATTATATTAATTTACATCCTTGCTTACAATGTACAAGGATTCCCTTTTCTCCACACCCTAATCAACATGTATTATTGTTTTGATAATAGCCATTGTAATGTGTATGGGATCTTATCTCATTGTGGTTTTAATTTGCATTTTCATTATGATGAGCGATGATGAGCATTTTTTCCATAAACCTGTTGACCATCTGTGTATCTTCTTTTGAGAAATGTCTAGTTAGGTTCTGTGTTCATTTTTTAATTGGGTTGTTTGTTTTCTTGCTTTTTTTTCACTGTGTTTCTGAGGTAATATCCAAGAAATACTTGCCTAGGCAAATGTCCTGGAATATTTCCCCTCTATTTACTTCCAGTACTATTACAGTTTCAGATCTTATGTGTAAGTCTTTAATCCATTTTAGTTGATTTTGTATATGGTGAGAGATGTGGGTCTAATTTCGTTTTTTTGTGTGTGGGTATCCAGTTTTCTCAATGCTATCTATTGAAGTCTGTCCTTTTTCTATTATATGTTCTTGGCATTTTATAAAAAATCAATTAACCATAAATGTGTGAGTTTATATCTGAGCTCTCTATTATGTTCCATTGGCCAATGTGTCTGGTGTTTTTTTTCCTCAAATTTATTCATTTTAAAACTGACATAAACAATGTATTTATAGCATACAACATGATGTTTTGCAATATTTACACATTGTGGAATGATTACATCGACCTAATTATCAAATGCGCTATCTCACATAATTATCATCTTTGTGATAAGAACACTTAACATCCACTGTCTTAGCATTTTTTGATAATACAGTATGTCATTATTAACTATAACATCATCATACTGTACAGTAGATCTCTTGAAGCTATTCCTTTCAACTGTAAAGATGTATTATTTAATTAACCATTGGTCAATGTGTCTGTTTTTATGACAACACCATGCTATTTTGATTACTATAGCTTTGTAATGGATTTTGAAGTAAGGTAGTGTGATGCTTTCAGCTTTGTTCTTTTTGCTCATGATTATTTTGTGTATTCAGGGTCTTTTGTGGTTCCATATGAGTTTGGGGATGGTTGTTTCTATTTCCATAAAAGGAAGCATTGGAATTTTGATAGAAATTGTATTGAATCTGTAGATTATTTGGAGTAGTATGGACATTTTAACAATATTCATTATCTCAATTTGTGATCATGGAATTTCGCCTTTCCATTGGATTGTGTCTTCTTCCATTTCTTTATTGTTTGCAGATTTCAGTATACAGATCTTCCACTCCTTGGTTAAATTTTACTACTAAGAGTTCTTTTAAAATGTTGTGAATGAGACTGATTCTTTAATTTCTTTTCCAGATAGCACATTGATAGTATAAATAAATTCTGAATTTTGCAGCTTGATTTTAAGTCCTGCAACTTTACTCTATTCTTTTATGAATTGTACCAGATATTGTTGGCCTTTTAGGGTTTTGTGTGTACAAGAACATGTCATCAGCAAATAGAGAAAATTTCACTTTGTTCTTCCCCTTTGGATTCCTTTTTCCCCTTTTTCTTGTCTAATTGCACTATCTCGAACTTCCAATACTATTTTGAATAAAATTCCCATTCTTCTTGACTCATTTGTTCAGAGGTTTTATTATGAAATAATGTTGAATTTTGTCAAATGCTTTTTCTACATCTATTCAGGTAATAATAAGGTTTTTGTCCTTCATTTTGTTAATATGATGTATCACATTTATTGATTTGCATATGTTGAAACTTCCCTGCATCCTAAAGATAAATTACACTTGATTATGGCAAATGATACTTTTAATGTGCTGTCGAATTTAATTTGCCAGTATTTTGTCAAGAATGTTTGCATCTACGTTCAACAAGTATATTATCCTGTAATTTTCTGTTGTTGTAGCATTCTTATCTGGCTTTGGTATTAGGCGTAATGCTGACCTTGTAAAATTAGTTTGGACATATTCTTTCTTCTTCAATTTTTTGGAAGTGTTTGAGAAGGATTGCTATGAATTAGTCTTTAAATGTTTGGTAAAATTCTACCATGAAGCCATCTGGTCCTAAGCTTTTCTTTGATGAGAATTGTTTATTATTATTATTGATTTAATCTCTTTACTAATTATTGGTCTGTTTAGATTTCTATTTCTTCTTAATGTATTCTTACTAAGTTATACGTTTATAGGAATTTATCCACTTCTAGTTTACCCAATCTGTGGGTGTATAATCATTCATAATGGTCACTCATGATCCTTTGTAATTTTGTGATATCAGTAGTAATTTCTCCTATTTCATTTCTGATTTTATTTACTTGAGTCTTCTCTCTTTTTGTAGTTAATCTGGCTAATGTTTTGTCAATTATGTTTATCTTTTCAAAAAACCATTTCTTTTTATTGTTGATATTTCTATTGTTTTTCTACTCCCTATTTCATTAATCTTTATGCGCTCCTTCTTTCTAATGATTTTGAGTATAATTTATCTTTCTTTTATAGTTCCTGGAGGTGTACTATTAAATCGCTTATTTGGTTTCTCTTCTTTTTTTATGTAGGCATTTATTGCTGTATACTTCCTTCTCAGAACTGCTATTGCTGCATCTCCAAAGTTTTAGTATGTTGTGTTTTTACTTTTGTTTGTCTCAGGATTTTTTGATGTCCCTTTCAATTTCTTCTTTCACCTTTGGTGTTGCAGAAGCATGTTGTTTTATTTCCGTATATTTGTAAACTTTCTAATATTTCTCCTGTTACTGATTTCTATTTTCATTCCATTAGAGTCAGAAAAAAATACTTGGTATGATCTTAATCTTCTTACATGTGTTAAGACTTGTTTTGTGGCCTAATGTATAATCTATTGCGGAAAATATTCCATGTGTCGTTAAAAAAAGATGTATTCTGTTTCAGTTGGATGGAATATTCTATGTATGTCAATTAGGTCTACATCCAAAGTGTTATTCAGTTCCACTATTTTTCCAATGATTCTCTGTCTGGATGATCTACGCAATGTTGAATGTGGAGTACTGAAGTCTCCTACTATGGTCTGTTTAGATTTCTATTTCTTCTTGATGTATTCTATCATGTATTCTATCTATATATAATATTATTATATTGCAGTCTATCTAACCCTTCAGATCTATTAGTATTTGCTTTATATGTATAGGTGCTCTGATGTAGGTGCATATATATTAAAAACTCTTATATCCTCTTGCTAAATTGACCCCTTTATCATTATATGTTGACTTTCCTTGTCTCTGTTTACTGTTTCTGACTTTAAGTCGATTTTGTCTAAGTGTAGCCACGCCTGCTCGCTTTTGATTATCATTTGCCTAAAATATGTTTTCCTTACCTTCACTCTCAATCTATGTTTATTGTTAGAACAAATTTTTTAAAGAGACAGGATCTTGCTATATTGTCCAGGCTGGAGTTCAGTAGCATGTTTAGAACTCACTGTAGCCTCAAACTTCTGGGATCAAGCTATCCTCTTGCCTCTGTCTCCTGAGTAGTGGGGACTATCGGCATGCACAACCATGGCTGGCTAACTTAAATTTTTTTTTGTAGAGATAGGGTCTTGCTATGTTGCCCACACTAGTCTCAACTCCTGGCCTCAAGCAATCCTCCTCTCTCAGTGTCTCCAAATGCTAGAGTTATAGGTATAAGTCACTGAATCTGGCCTTATGTTTGTTCTAATGGCTAACGTGAGTCTGTTGTAGGCAGTGTTTTGATAGATCTTTGGTTTTTCATTTTTTAATTTTTTTTAATCCATTCATCTTCTCTGTGGCTTTTAAATTGAGAATTTAATCCATTTACATTTAGACTAAATGTTTTGAAATTATTTTGTTCCTTTATTTCACTCTGGCTGTATTTGTTTATGATTTGTTTTAATCTTGTAGTGGTATAATTTATTTCTTTCTCTCTGTATTTTGTGTATTTAGTAGTTTTTGTTTTGTTTTTGTTTTTGTTTTTTTTTGAGACAGTGCCTCATTCTGTCGCTCAGGCTGGAATGCAGTGGCACTATCTCAGCTCATTGCAACCTCTGCCACCCGGGTTCATGTGATTGTCCTGCCTCAGCTTCCTGAGTAGCTGGGATTACAGGCACATGCACCATGCCTGGCTAATTTTTGTATTTTAAGTAGAGATGGGGTTTCACCATATTGGTCAGGCTGGTCTCAAACTCCTGACCTTGTGATCCTCCCGTCTCAGCCTCCCAAAGTGCTGGGGTTACAGGCATGAGCCACCACACCCTGCTGAAGTTTTTGCTTTATGGCTACCCTGAGACTTACATAAAACACCGTCATATTATAATACCCTAATTTAAGCTGACAGTGACTTAACTTCAATTGCATACAAGACACTGCACTTTTAATTCTTTTCCTCCACAGGCTATGCTATTGATGTTGTATTTTACTTTAACATTTTATGCTATTAATATCATGCTATGGATGTATATTTTGTATCTGTTAATCAATCATAGCTTTTTTAAAAAATGAATTTTGTTTTTAACTCTTACACAAAAGAGTGATTTACAGACTACCTTTATAATATTAGAGTATTCTGAATTTGACTATATATTTACCTTTGCCAGTGAGTTTTATACTTTCATATGCTTCATATTGTTGCTTATCATTATTTTGTTTTAATGTGAAAACTTCCTTTAGCATTTCTCATAAGAGTAGTTTCATGGTGATGAACTCCTTCAGTTTTTTGCTTGTTTTGAATTTTTTTAACCTCCCCTTCATTTCTTTGTTTTGTTTTGTTTTTTGTTTTCAATATTTATTTATTTTGTATTTTCTATTTCTGAGATGGAGTCTTGCTCTGCTGTCCAGGCTAGAGTGCAGTGGTGTGATCTTGGCTCACTGTAGCCTCCACCTCCTGAGTTCAAGTGATTCTCCTGCCTTAGCCTCCCGAGTAGCTGGGACCACAGGCGCCCACCATCACACCCGGCTAATTTTTGTATTTTTAGTAGAGACGGGGTTTCACCATGTTGGCCAGGCTGGTCTCAAACTGACCTCAATTGATCCACCCACCTTGGCCTCCCAAAGTGCTGGGATTACAGACCTGAGCCACAGCGCCCAGCCCTTCAGTATTTATTTAAATTTGCCTGCTGGCTAACTTCTCATTGCACCTAGGCTCTAGTGTAATTAAATTACTTCATTCTCTCTTTTTAAAACTTTTTTCTTTTTTCTTTTTTGTGTTTTTCATTCTCTTATCTACGAGAGCCACAATACTTGAAGACACCAATTGATACCCCTTAGTCACATCTGAGCTAAACACTTTCAGTTCCTACAGCTGTTTCTTTTTTTCTCGCTTTTTTTTTTTTTTTTTAATTGATTATTCTTGGGTGTTTCTCTCAGAGGGGGATTTGGCAGGGTCACAGGACAATAGTGGAGGGAAGGTTAGCAGATAAACAAGGGAACAAAGGTCTCTGGTTTTCCTAGGCAGAGGACCCTGCGGCCTTCCGCAGTGTTTGTGTCCCTGAGTATTTGAGATTAGGGAGTGGTGATGACTCTTAAGGAGCATGCTGCCTTCAAGCATCTGTTTAACAAAGCACATGTTGCACCGCCCTTAATTCATTCAACCCTGAGTGGACACAGCACATGCCCCAGAGAGCACAGGGTTGGGGGCAGGGTCACAGATCAACAGCATCCCAAGGCAGAAGAACCTCTCCCAGTACAGAACAAAATGGAGTCTCCTATGTCTACTTCTTTGTACACAGACACAGCAACAATCTGATTTCTCTATCTTTTCCCCACCTTTCCTCCTTTTCTATTCCACAAAACCGCCATCGTCATCATGGCCTGTTCTCAATGAGCTGTTGGGTACACCTCCCTGACGGGGTGGTGGCCGGGCAGAGGGGCTCCTCACTTCCCAGAAGGGGTGGCTGGGCAGAGGCGCCCCCTACCTCCCGGACGGGGCGGCGACCGGGCGGGGGCTGACCCCCTACCTTCCTCCCGGACGGGGCGGCTGCCAGGCGGAGATGCTCCTCACTTCCTGGACGGGGCGGCTGCCGGGTGGAGGGGCTCCTCACTTCTCAGACGGGGCGGCCGGTAAGAGACTCTCCTCACCTCCCAGACGGGGTCGCGGCTGGGCAGAGACGCTCCTCACATCCCAGACGGGGCTGCGGGGCAGAGGCGCTCCCCACTCAGACGACAGGCGGCCGGGCAGAGACGCTCCTCACTTCCTAGACGGGATGGCGGCCGGGAAGAGGCGCTCCTCACTTCCCAGACTGGGCAGACGGGCAGAGGGGCTCCTCACATCCCAGACGATGGGCAGCCAGGCAGAGACACTCCTCACTTCCCAGACGGGATGGTGGCCGGGCAGAGGCTGCAATCTCGGCACTTTGGGAGGCCAAGGCAGGCGGCTGGGAGGTGGAGGTTGTAGCTAGCTGAGATCACGCCACTGCACTCCAGCCTGGGCAACATTGAGCCCTACAGCTGTTTCTTAATCTTAGGTCACATGGTTTCTTCCCATGCTGTTCTTCCCAGACAGCATTTTTTTTTTTTTTTGAGAGTCTCACTCTGTTGCCCAGGCTGGAGTGCAGCAGCACGATCTCAGTTTACTGCAACCTCTGCCTTCCAGGTTCAGGCGATTCTCCCCTTCATTTCAAAAGGACAGTTTTGCAAAGGATAATTTTTC
Source organism: Homo sapiens (assembly GCF_000001405.40). Lineage (NCBI taxonomy): Eukaryota > Metazoa > Chordata > Mammalia > Primates > Hominidae > Homo > Homo sapiens. The sequence continues at coordinate 84,918,204 of NC_000003.12, read as the reverse complement.
TGTTTGGCTTCTCTTTTTTTCCTTTAGCACTTTGAATATGTCATCCCATTTTCTCTTGGCTTGAAAGATTTCTGTTGAAAATCTGCTGATGGCCTTATGAAAGATTCTTTACATGTGACAAGTTTCTTCTCTCTTGCTCTTTTGAAATCCTCTTTGACTTTTGGCAATTGGATTATAATGTGTCTTGGAGTGTTCTTTTTTTGATTTGATCTTGCTTACCATGCTTTGGACCTCCCGAATCTGCATGTCCACATCATTTCCAAAATTTTAGAAGTTCTCAGGCAATATTTCTTAGAATAAGCTTTCTTCCCCTTTCTATTTCTCTTCTCTTTCTGGTACTACCATAATTTATATACTTGCACATTTTGTTATGTTCTGTAGGCCCATATGTTTTTATTATTCTTTTTATATATATTTTTCTTTTTGTTCCTGTAATTGGCTAATTTCAAATGACCTGTTTTGAGTTCACTAATTCTTTCTTCCACATGGTTGAGTCTGCTGTTGAAATTGTCTGTTGAGTTTTTCAGTTCTGTCATTGATTTTTCTCAGCTCCAGAGATTCTTCTGTTTTTTTCTTGGGGGTGGGGAGTTGTTTCTATTTAATTATTAAACTTCTTATTTTGTTAATGCATTATTTTCTAATTTTATTTAGTTGTCTATATATTGTTGCATCTCACTGAGCTTCAAGATGATTATTCTGAATTTTTTTCCTGGCAATTCGTATATCTTCATTTCTTTGGAGTTGGTTATTGAAGCTTTATTGGTTTTCTTTGGTGGTAATATGTGTGCTTGATTCTTTGTTATCCATGCAGTCTTGCATTGGTGTCTGTATACTGGAAGTAGCAAACCCTTCTTTCATTGTTTACAGACTGGTTTCAGCAAGGGAAAATAATCTGTTTGGTCTCTGGGCTGATGGGATTGCCTGTGGGATAGCAGTTAAGTGGGATTGCATCTGGGTCTCATGGCTGATGCTGCATCTGCAATGGAGAATGCAGTGAGCAGGTCTGTTACCAGGGGCTCTATTGCATGTGGGTCCTATCTGGTCCCTGGGTAGACTGGACTTTCTCCAGTCCTTTGGTCTATGGATCTGTGCTATAATTAAGTCTCATTTCAGGGTTTGCAAATGGCAGGTCTGTTACCACATGCATGATGGATGTGGTTTTCACCAGGTCTCTGGAAGGGCTCCTGTTATATCACTGGATGAATCCTTGGGCTGGCTGTACTTTTCAAGTTGATGGCTAAAATGAGCTGGAACTGAGGCACGAGTTTATATGAGGCCACAGCTGAGACCGAAATCTTTAGGCCTGTCTCTGAGGCCATTAATAGGGTGTCTCCCAGCAGTTTTCCGAGTGAGCAGGCCTGCTTTCATACTGCAGTTGAGAAGTGATTGATAGAGCCAATTTCCAGGGCCACTTTAGGATTCACAGTGGGACTGAGGTCAGTGTGTCAGCCTGCAGAGCACTGTGGGACATGCCCCCTTCTGGGTCTCCAGGTGGACAGAACTGCTCTAAGTCTACAAACAAGAGGGACTGGGCCTGAGATCCAGGGCATTTGAGGATCTGCTGTGGGACAAATTGCCAAGCCTTCCACAGGAACTCAGACAGGCATATCTCAAAGTAGGATTCTTCCTGGGCAAACCTACTCTCAGATCACAGTTGAAAGATGGCTAAAACTGAGCGTCTGGGTTATTTCAGAATTTTCTGTGGGACCAGAATTGGCAAGCCGAGCCCATGTCACTGGTGGGCAAGACTCCTAGCATATCTCTATGTGGGCAAGATTGCTCCCAGACTGCCATTGTAAGGAGATGGAACTGAAATTCAGGGCCTTTTTAGAATCTAATATGGAATGGAGTTTGGCAAGCCTGACCAGGAGTCTCCCAGCAATTACCTGCATAGACAGGATATTAGTTAGTACTTAAAACTCTTTTCTTTTACTTTCCATTCCATTTCATGTTCCATTTGTCCACAATTAACTCCCCCCAAATTTACAACACATTGCTTAGTATGGGGACTTAATTTTTTATTCCCAAAGTGTTTGATCTTGCCTATATTTGATTGTTGTCATTTATTGTTGTTTATCACTAGATATGGAAATATTGAAAGACACCTCAGAGAAACCACTGGTTTAAAAACGTAACCCTTTCAGACTCTATTGATTAACAGAAATCCTGCTGCTTCTTTATGAATTAGAATTAGAATTATGACTGCAAACATTTAATACATCTTCTTTTACCTATTGGTTCTGTTGTATTAGGAACCCATAATGGTGAGGTAGTTTTCCCAATTTCCAGTTCATTGAAATGGTCATTGTGCCCTTGTAAAAGTTTCTTTTTTTTTTTCCTTAGGAACATAGATCAAGAAATCATCAACACAGTAAATTATAGGAATGGGAATTTTAAAATTTTGGAGGGAAGTTTTCAGGGTTATAATAAAATAAGTCATTCTCATTTTCAACAATCCATTTCCCAATCTTTTTTTTCTTTTTTTGGCTAGAAGAGAAACAGGTACCTTTTTTTTGTCATCAGAGCATAAACTAAAATTTGTAGAACATTTCTCCAAACCCACCAAGTGTTATTATATGCAAAATGTCATATTTAAGTCTTCTATAAGCTGTCCCACTATATTATTAGCCTCATCACTTCTTCTTTTTTTTTTTTTTTTTAAGGAATGTTGCTTTATCACCCAGGCTGCTGAAGTGCAGTGGCACGATCTCAGCTTACTGCAACCTCTACCTCCTGGGTTCAAGCAATTCTCCTGTCTCAGCCTCCCAAGTAGCTGAGACCACAGGCACATGCCTTGATGTCTGACTATTTTTTGTATTTTTAGTAGAGATGGGGTTTCACCATATTGGTCAGATTGGTCTTGAACTCTTGACCCGAGGTAATCCACCTGCCTTGGCCTCCAAATGTGCTGGGATTACAAGTGTGAGCCACTGTGCCTGGCTATGCTCACTTCTTCAGGATGATGGGGTACATAGTGATGTGAGTGATTCCCCTGAGAATGAATCTATTGCTTTACTACCTTGCTGTACATAAGCGACATAGGTTATCAGGGCAGCAAATCATTCATTTTGTGAATTCATAGATGAGAATGAGGTCCAAACATTGCAGACGGAGAAGTGGCGATACCGGTGGGGACAAATTGCTGCCACCCCTGTGACTGAAAACTAAAAGTTTATTAAACTGACACCAGAATTTACTGCTATATTTTCCTTCAGGAATATATACCATATGAAGGGCTTCTCTTTGGTTCTTGCTATGGGCATTTTAGTCATTAAGCAGTGGAGGTAGCCAGATTTACCTTGGTGAGGAGAAGTTTATGGACTTGAGGCTACACCACTTCTATACCAGCATTCATTCTCAGTTTGCTAATGATTCCACTGAATAAGCTAAAGGTAACAGGTAAAGAGGTTGGTGGACATTCACTGAATGAGAAATCTTACTATGTGATTATTGCAGATTTCTTTCACAGCATTTGTTTTTGAAAATATATACACAGATACTATATATATTTACCTACTTTGCCAGTTCTTGAGTTTTCTCCTTAATCTACACTAAACTTTTTCCCAGCCTTATAATTGTACAGTTTCTAAGGTATTTGTCATCCGCATAAATTATTAATCAACACATCTGATTGTTAGTATGGATGAATTAAGGTTCAAATGAATTATTGGAACCTCTGGGCAATTTGTTTCTCAAATGAAGTGAACAAACAGATGCCATACTCAAGGTTCTGCCCCCAAGGGGACTTCGCTGTTATATTTTATGTTTATGATGGCCAATTTTATGTGTGAACTTGACTGGACAGCAGGATGCCAAACTATTTGGCCTAACCTTATTCTGAGCATGTCTTTAATGGTGTTTTGAATGAGACTAACATTTGAATTGGTAGAATAAGTAAAGCAGATTGTCCTCCTTAATGTAGGTGGCCCTCATCTAATCAGTTGAAGGCCAGAAGAGAACAAAAAGGCTCATCCTCCCACGTTTAAGAGGGAACTCCTCCCGCCTGACTACTTAAGCTGAAACATCTGCTTTTCTTGCCTTTGGACTTGAACTAAAACTCAGCTCTTCTTGGCTCTTGAGCTTGCATATTCATGGGCTAAAGGACCAAAACTTACATCATTGGCTCTCCTGGTTCTCCAGCTTGCTGACTGCAAATTTGAGACTTCTGAGTCTCCCTCTCAATCAGTTTAGGTTGCTATAACATAATACTATAGATTAGGTGGCTTAAACAAGAAATATTTATTTCTCACAACTCTGAAAGCTGGAAGTTCTAGATTAAGGTTCCAGAATGGTTGGGTTCTTGGCGGCAGCCCTCTTTATTCCTAATTATGTCATCACGTGGCCTTCTTTGATGAATGCATGCTGAGAAAGGGGGTGGGGTGGGGAAGGGGGATACAGAAGGAGAGAGAAAGAGAGAGAGAGATAGAGGGAGAGGAGGAGAAAAAGAGAGAGAGAAAGGGAGAAGGGGAGAGAGAGAGACAGAGAGAGAGCGCTCATCTACTTCTCTTTTATAAGGGTGTTAATCCCATCATGAGGATTCCACCCTCAGAATCTAATCAAATTTTTATTACATTTCAAAGGCCCTACCACCAAATAGGATTACACTGGGGTTTGGAGTTTCAAGATATAAATGTAGGGGTTGGGGCACAAACATTTGGTCCACAGCAGCCTCCATAACCCCATAAGCCAATTCCTATCAGAATGGTTGTTTTTTTCTTTACCAGTCAATTGTTTTTTATGAAATCCCCTATGAGGCCATTGGATATGGACTGAAGAAGAGGTGGAAATTCAGGCAAAATAGATCTCATGAGAGTCTGAAATATTTGATCATAAAACTATTTGTGGTATCAGAATCTATAACAGCCCAACTGTAGGGCTTTATGGATCGGATAATAGCTAATTGTAATCATGTTGGAGAGCTCAGACCGTATGGTTACTAGGTAAGATAGCCCATCAAATCTCTACTGTGGGTTTCATAGCAAAGTTGATGTTTTTTTTTTTTTTTTTTTTTTCTTAAGGAGTTGTTATTTGTAGAAAAAGACATGGCTTTGCTCCCAAACCTAGATGTTTGCCAGGTTTTTATTCCCTGTATGAATTTGTACAGATATTGTATGTACTGTTGGATGTATTGAATCATAAGCTAGCACTTCAGTCTTATTTTGTTATAGACACCAACAAAAATAGCAACCTATGGAATTCTTATGAAATAGGTTAGTAATTAAAATTATTTATTTATTCATTTTGCTATTCTCCACCATGACCACTCAAATAAAGTCTCCAGATAGAGGATTTTATGATTTTTTTTCTAAACATTACATAACATGTTGGTATATTGGTTCATCTTTTTCAGTTCTAGAGTCTTTATGATCAATTTGCTACTTCCAAAGATACCCAATGTGAAAATTATTAATATTGCTATTTCAGTACCGCTGTCCATTTCAGTAACCATATTGGTTGTTAAATCAGTGGCTGTTAAGTGCTATAATTTGGCTTTGTCTACAGTGGGATACTGGTATGCCTATTAACATCAAGGAGCCCAGTCCTCATTAGTTAATCCATGCCTCATGAATACATCCAATGCAGAGAATGCAGAGTGCTTCAAGGGCGCTGGTACTTCCCTCACAAAAATATTTTCAATGCTTTCATGACAGGAATGTCCTCTGAGGATCTTCCAAGAGATAACAGAAATAATAAACCCATTTAAACATCCCTATATTTTTTAGCTTTGGCATTTGTTTATGAACATTAAGAAAGTTACACTAACTCAAATTCCTTTAACATAGGATACCATTTAGGTTGGATTTTGATTATCCAATCAAGCACAATAAGCCAATTAATACATTTATTCCAGAATCCCTAGTTAGTGTGTTCATACTTTCACATTCAGCCACTTTAAATGCATTTTTCTTTTCTTTTTCTTTTTTTAGACATATAGTAAGTATAACAACCATTCCTGTAATAAGTTCCTTAGAAACTAAGAATGAGATTTTTTTCAGATAACATAGAACATCTCAAACCAAAGAGCAAAATATCTACCTGTACTTCCATTAAAATCAGTTAAAAATGTCATGTATTATAATTTTTATTTGACATTGTTCTAGAGGTTACAACCAATGCATAAGATATGAAACAGAAATGTTGTATACAATAGACAGAAAATAATTTTCAGAAAAAGATAATATGCTTTGAAAGTGCAAATGAATTAATTAAAATTATTGAAAAAATAATCAAAGGATCGATATATTAGATGGATTTCAAGAACTTCCTTTTACATTAGACATGACTAATTAGGAAATAACATGGAAAATATTCCATCCACTAGATAAATAGCTATTAATGGAAATATTGCAAGAGTGATGAAATGTCTAAGTCATTATTTTTAGTTGGTAATTGTTGATAAATTTTGTTTCTTCTGTAGTTTTTATTATTTTATATTTTCTATATTGATCAAGTATAGCTTTTAGAATAAAAAGGCAATAAAACATTTAATAAAGCATTACTTTGTGTACACCTATACTCTTAGCTACTGGGGAGGCTGAGGTGGGAGGATGACTAGTACCAAAGAGGTAGAGGCTGCAGTGAGCTATGATTGCAACACTGCACTCCAGCCTGGGTGACAGAGCAAGACCCTCTCTCTAAAAAAAAACAAAGAAAATATTACCTTAGTAAGAAGTGACTTTGGGGACCTCCTCAGTTCACACTTGTAGTCTGCAAGCCATATTGTGAGAATCCCAGCTCTTAACTTCTTTTTTTTAAAATTTAATTTTATTTTATTATTTATTACTTATTATTTTATTATTATACTTTAAGTTTTAGGGTACATGTGCACAACGTGCAGGTTTGTTACATATGTATACATATGCCATGTTGGTGTGCTGTACCCATTAACTCCTCATTTAGCATTAGGTATATCTCCTAATGCTATCCCTCCCCCCTCCCCACACGCCAAAACAGTCCCCGGTGTGTGATGTTCCTCTTCCTGTGTCCATGTGTTCTCACTGTTCAATTTACACCTATGAGTGAGAACATGCAGTGTTTGGTTTTCTGTCCTTGCGATAGTTTGCTGTGAATGATGGTTTCCAGCTTCATCCATGTCCCTGCAAGAAAAAAACAAACAACATCATCAAAAAGTGGGTGAAGGATATGAACACACACTTCTCAAAAGAAGACATTTATGCAGCCAGAAAACAGATGAAAAAATGCTCATCATCACTGGCCATCAGAGAAATGCAAATCAAAACCACAAAGAGATACCATTTCACACCAGTTAGAATGGCGATCATTAAAAAGTCAGGAAACAACAGGTGCTGGAGAGGATGTGGAGAAATAGGAACACTTTTACACTGTTGGTGGGACTGTAAACTAGTTCAACCATTGTGGAAGTCAGTGTGGCAATTCCTCAAGGACTAAAAATACCATTTGACCCAGCCATCCCATTACTGGGTATATACCCAAAGGATTATAAATCATGCTGCTATAAAGACACATGCACAGGTATGTTTATTGAGGCACTATTCACAATAGCAAAGACTTGGAACCAACCCAAATGTCCAACAATGATAGACTGGATTAAGAAAATGTGGCACATATGCACCATGGAATACTATGCATTTTTCTTTCCTAATAGCTTTTCCACTTTAAGTATTTATTTACACACATATTCCCCCATATTCTGCTTGATATGAAGTGTCAAAACCTTGCACTTTTGGTGCAAATGCTATCTCTTCCAAGTAGACTTTGGGCCCATTTCCTTCAGCCATGATGAAATCTAACTCTAATTACAGTTTTGGAAGTAACAAGAAGGGATGAAATGAATATCATGAAGAAGAGTGACTGCTTCAAGTGAGGAAAGTACAGGATCTTCAAATGAAAGGATTGTAGCCTCCTCATGCAGAAGAAAAAAATGGGTAAGGTAGGATCATTGAATTTAGGTATTCAGCATACTCATGTTCATACAAATCCTCTCAAATGTCCTCAGTATGATATTCAGGTTATTGCTATTTCCCTATTACTGAAACATCTGGAGCAGACCTGAATTTAACTTGGTTGTAAATCTGTTATGCAGAATCAAACTTTAGATCTGGTTTCAGAAACAGAATTTTTAAAATAAGAGATAAAACATGCTTTCTGATAAACCACAGAAACATGGTCTCTGACTGTGCCTTTAACTAAGTATTTAAAGGACTAAACTTGTCATTTTATTGTTGTTGTTAATGTTCCAGTATAGTCAGAAAAATCTAGTGTATCTATAGTCATCATTCCTCCCCCAGCAATCTAGGGCAGCAGTTATTTGGTGTCTTGAGGCATTGTCTTTCATAGGCACTTCATTTATGGTCACCGCCAGTTGATGTAACTTTTGTCGTGACACTCCAGAGACCACCAGCATCCCATATTGCACAAGAGATGATCAGAGATTCTTATTACATTAAGATCCACAAATATCAGGTAGCATAAAAACATTAAACACACACACAAACACACATGTACACATAAAATTACATAAAATTATATATTTTCTTATTTTTCATTCCAAGGAATACCAGTGCTTATAACTGCTTTTGATATTTCAATCCTAATCCGATAAATGCCACTAAGGATTACAGAAATAATAAATTAAGACTGTTTAATTTTACAGGCAAAACTATGCCAAGAGTTGACTGTTTTTATTAGGTTGCATTTGCTCTTAAGGCAGTAGTGTCAACAGCTCAAAAAATAAAGGAAAATTATTGTAAAGAACCACACACAGCAAGCCTCAGGAAAAGTGGAATCCAGGGCAATTATGAAGGTTTCAGCCCAAGAAATTCTTAGATGTTCACTGTGGTATTTTGCCACCAGTGAGATATTAGCTACAATTTACTAAATCAGTATGTTAGTACTATTTAGTTCGACTTCCCAAATGAGATACATTTAAATAACTTTCCATGGGCCAGAGGGTCACATTTGAAACAATAAGCTATGATTGTGGAAAAAGAGGATCATAAGGTATGACACTGATCTCAGACCCACTTTTTAAATCAGGTGGTGCATGTAGGTTTCAATTCTAGAAGAATAGATTACGGACTGAAACAGCAAAACAAAACGTATTTCATAGAAATCTTCTTCTTCTTCTTTTTCTTCTTCTTCTTCTTCTTCTTCTTCTTCTTCTTCTTCTTCTTCTTCTTCTTCTTCTTCTTCTTCTTCTTCTTCTTCTTCTTCTCCCCCTCCTCCTCCTCCTCCTCCTCCTCCTCCTCCTCCTCCTCCTCCTCTTCTTCTTCTTCTTCTTCTTCTTCTTCTTCTTCTTCTTCTTCTTCTTCTTCTTCTCCTTCTCCTTCTCCTTCTCCTTCTTCTTCTTCTTCCCCTTCCTCTTCTTCTTCTTCCTCTTCTTCATCTTCTTTCTTCTTCCTTTTTCGAGATACTTTGTTTAACATTCCATAGGTTACTATAGTAAAAAATGAACATGATACAAATTGCTGTGGCAGAAAATTCCATAAAACAGAGTAATCCAGCAATGTGGTTTTGGGCACATGGCCCCAGCCAAAACTATAATACCAAGTGAATATGGAGCTGAAGTTAGTTGAGGAGACTAGAGTTCTTTTTGAGAAACAGAGTGATTCTAAAATTCCTACAGGATATCCTGGTGGTTTCATGGGAATTTCAGGATAAGACAAAACAGAATGAATTATAGCCCATTAATGCCTTCCAAAAATTTCTAGAACTAACTCACCCATTTGATTGACCTCTAAATTTATCACATAGTATTATTTATTATTAAAGACTACACAGGAATGACTTGGAACAAGTGTGGTTCACCTGATATGCTATAAGTGTGTGTTTCTGAAATACACACTGAGGCTCATGATACTGGAGGGACCTGTGTACAAGGTGCCTAAGGCTGATTATAGGCCAGTGGCGTTGTGATACTTGGTAGCATATGATACCCACATATGCTATTTTTATTTGGTTTAACATGCCCAAAAGATGCAAAAATTTTTTACCCAGAATTACAGCCAGATAAATGTGATTTCCTCAGGTTTTGAATCTTATAGCATTTTTTGTTTTCTTAAAACTCAAATCTACCCTATACAGATTTATAACAATTTTTGAACTTTTTTTATCATGAGGGGAATATTATGCCTTATTCACAATTGTTATCTTTTATAGCACTTTTTATATAATGCTTTGTATATATTATGTCGACAAGATAGTTCCATTTACACTAATTGAGGTAGAAATTTTAAATTTCTGACAAAATACAGAATTCATTGTCTTTCCCCTTTAAGAAAAAAGTCGGCCGGGCTCAGTGGCTCACACGTGTAATCCCAGCACTTTGGGAGGCCGAGACGGGCGGATTACGACGTCAAGAGATCGAGACCACCCTGGCCAACATGGTGAAATCCCGTCTTTACTAAAAAAATACAAAAAATTAGCCTGCCGTGGTGGTGGGCGCCTGTAGTCCCAGCTACTCGGGAGGCTGAGGCAGGAGAATGGCGGGAACCCCGGAGGTGGAGCTTGCAGTGAGAGGAGATAGCGCCACTGCACTCCAGCCTGGGCGACAAAGGGAGACCTTGTCTCAAAAAAAAAAAAAAAAAAAGAAAGAAAGAAAGAAAAAAGTCATGTATTCTTGCAAATAATAATAATTCATTACAGTAAAAAATTATGTTATACCTACATTTTTCTACCCATAAGAGGTGTTTGCAAACCAATCTGTTCATCAGTCCATCTTAGGTTTTCAGTTCCCATCATCAATTCTGTTAGCATTACAAAAGGTACATATATCTTAAAAGAAACCTTTCATTAAGGAACAACATCCCTGCAAGTAGTTACTGTAGATAGCACCGTGGAAAGAATCTCCTCTCATTCTCTGAAAGGCATACCTGTATCAATTTCCTACTAAAAGTTACCAGCCTTTCCCTACTGTCACAGGGAGTTTTGATTTATGTCGCTCACTGTGAGGATTCAGTGAATAAGTCAATGCCAATTTTTGTGTACTCTCTGGTACACATATAATAGTTTGTCTGGTACTGTCATTTCCCTTTTACATGACATTCCAAAATGACAAAAACCATTGGTGATCATACACACACACACACACACACACACTGATGATCAAGACATATTGATCTAGATCAGAAAGAATAAAAATGTAAAAATCTAATTCAGTATACTCAATGATCAAATTATGCTTAATGAAGCTTATAATTCATTTAATTTCCCCTACCCTCAATTCTCCTAAATTGTGCTTTTGTTGTAATTAGTTTAGAACATGGAAATTTGCAATGTATTTTTATTTTGAACATATCGTCTAAGTTGAAACTTCCCAAAATCTGTCTAGAATCAAAATAAATAGAAACATCTTGTGAGTTTTTCAAATGTCTCTTTTAATAATACATGCTAAAAAAATAGATAATAAGGTTACTTCATATGCACACACACGTATCACTCACTACGAGGATTCAGGAAATAAATTAATGGCATGTTCTTCTATATTCTCTGGTACATACAATAAAAAGTTTTCAAAACAGACAATTTTTGTTAAAAAATTATATTTGTGTGGTGGGGGGCAAGGGTAGGGAGAGTATTAGAACAAATACCTAATGCATGCAGGGCTTAAGACCTAGATGACAGGCTGATAGGTGCAGCAAACTGCCATGGCACATGTATATACCTATGTAACAAACCTGCACATTCTCCACATGTATCCCAGAACTTAAGGTAAAATTTAAAAACATTATCATTTCTAAACATGCATAAACATGTAACTACCCAATGGATGAGATGGACATTTAAAACCAAAGGACTGCTATTTCTAGTAACATTGTGACAGGATCCTTGGGGCCACAGAGGATGGCACCTTTGCCTGAGCAAAACTCACGAGCCACTAGGCTCGTTCTACTCACTCAGCCTGGCAGGCTGACCTTGGCTTATGCTACTGGCCTGTTTCCCATGCCTGTCAAGGGCGAGTCAAGTGTGGAGCAGTGAGGGGGTGTGAGAGAGTGAGCATGGGGTATGGTCACTGTGTACAGCTAGGCATGCCAGCTGTGGTGGGGTGGGCAGCTCCAGGTGCCAGCGTGGGGGCTGGCTCCCTGCAAGGCTGCAGCTGGACCAGGCACAAGCAGCTTCTATGGCTGCCACGAGGGGACATGGTTGCGCCCAGAACCTTAGAGACACCGGGAACCACAGAGCCCCAAAGAAGGTGTCACAGCCCTGGCTCAGGGAGCTCCCAGGTCTGGGCTCCCTGAATGGCCGCAGCTCTTCTCTCTTTCCCTCTTACCTCCTCCTTGTCGCCTGCAATGTGGCAAGCAAGGGGCATGTTTCAGCCCTGTTTGTGTTACAGTTCTTTCAGTCCCACCGTTTGATGGGTCCTGAGTTCTTGTCCTGTGTCCAGGAAGAATAAAGTATGTGGACAGGTGGAGGGTGAATAAGGCAAACAATTGCTTTATTTAGTGACAGAACAGTATAGGTCTCAGAGGAGACCTATACTGGGTAGCTCCTCTCCACAGTCAGGTCGTCCCAATGAGTGTCCAGCTCTCAGCAGAGAGGACACCCACAGTGGGTAGCACCTGTCCACAGGGAGGCTACTCCGTCATCTGCCCGAGTCTAAATGAGTCCAGGGTTTTTATGGGCTTCATAGGGGAGGAAGTGCATGCCAGATTGGTCCGTAGGTGGCCATGGGCAGGCCCGGAAAAAGCGCGAGTTTTCACTCTGGTGCACGGAAAAGGCAACGTGGAGCCCAGGCCTCAGGCCCTCCCTGGCTTGAAGGTGGGGTTTCACCAGGGACTTGACCCTTTCCAGCCAGGATCCTATTTGCTTTCTGCCACCATTAACCTGCCAGCCACGGTGCCCATGGCGACCAGGCTGTTGCTGCAGGGAGCCTACAGGCCCACGCCAAGCTGCCCCTCTCGGGCTCCCTCCCATGCTTGTTGGTGACCAAAGTCCAGAAGGCACCAAGGTGGCAGGGGGCTAGCATTTCACTGCTGCCCCAGGCACGTGCACACCCCGCCAGGTGATGACGGTGCCTGAGCTCAGCCACAACTTTGCTGTGAAACGGGAGTGGGCACTGGGAGTGGGGAGAGACCAGGCAGCAGGAACAGGCACTTCTGAGGCTGCGGGGGCAGGGGGGCTTCCTGCACCTCCCATCCCCGCAAAGTGCAGGGATACACAGATCCACAGCCAAGACTAAGCGGATGCAGCTGTGCCTGTGAGGGCGGGGCTCCCACCCCTCCAACTTGTAAGAGGGTGGGGCTACCACCTGTTCCCAGCTCCTGCCAGCTCCATGGAGCGGCAGTCCCAGCTGCGCCTCCCTCACTGAGCTAGCGTCAAGACAGCGGACACTCCAGACAGGCTGCTGCTGCCATCAACATTTCATTTTGACAAAATGTTTTGTGTTGTTTAACCATGTGAGCTCTCCAACAGCCCGTTGCTTTTGAATCCTGGATATGTCACATAAAAACTGCGGGACCTTGGACTAATTAATATGATTCAAACTCAGTTTTCTTATTTTTTAAATAGGGGTAATAAGAGTAACTACTTCATAAGGTTGTTGTGAAGATTAGGCATCAGTGCCTGCACTGGCAAGCATTGAATAAATGTAAGCTATTGTCGTTATCATACATTTCCACAAATGGAAAATAGAGAATATATAAATATCTGGTATAAAATAGTGGATTTATTGAATTATTTCCTTCAATAATTCACAAACATATTTCCAATTACTGCCTTCTTATGACACACAAGTCTGAAAATATATCATGTTTGAATTTCCTAGCAGAGGAAGAGTAGGTATTTCCATCCACAGAGATTGGCTTGGTCATGTGATTTGCTTTGACCAATCTAATGTAAGTTAGTCAGAAGCTATTCAAGAAATATGAACCACACCAGCTGTTTGAACAGAGATATTTTCATATAAACTAATCTTAATAATTAGATATTGGTGACAACTTAATTAAAAAGCAAAAGGAAACACTACATTTTCATGGAGTTGCTGTGGAAAGCACTTACCATCCCTAAGGCTGGAGGTTAAAAAGGGAAGAGGCTGAAACTGTTAATAATAGAAGTTTGGAGGAGAGACCTCATTAAAATGGAACGTGGACTCCTGATAAGGTTGGTACTCGTACCTGAAGTCCTGTGAAGAAAGATTCTGTAGAACTTGGTTGCAGGCCTTGAGGAAAGGGCACAATTCATTTCATAATGATGCCTTAGGTCTAAAAGAGGGAGCTTATTAAGAGGAGGAAATAAAATTCTGAGAAAGAGGCTTTGACCAGCTAGTGCTGGTATATTCTGAGTAGACACAATGAGACTGGTTTGGGGAATTTCAGAAAAACTACAAGCCACTCTGTTTATTTATTTATTTACTTGAGACAGAGTCTTGCTCTGTCGCCCAGACTGTTGGGCAGTGGCACGGTCTCAGCTCACTGCAATCTCTGCCTCCCGGGTTCAAGCAATTCTCTTTCCTCAGCCTCCCAAATAGCTGGGATTACAGGTGCATGCCACCACACTGGGCTAATTTTTTTTTTTTTCAGTAGAGATGGGGTTTCACCCTGTTGGCCAGGCTGGTCTTGAACTCCTGACCTCGTGATCCGCCTGCCTTGGCCTCCCAAAAAGTGCTGGGATTACAGACATGAGCCACCGCACCTGGCCTCATCTGTCACTTTCAGGGTAAGGAAGTTTAGCTGGGGTTATACACATGAGGAAGGAATAAGTCTCTTCTGGTTACTTCAGATTTTCAGTCATTTTCTTCCTTCTTCAGACTTCCAGATTTCTCCTGATTTCTAGAGCCTTCTATTGCTGTATCTCCAGCTGCCCAGCAGATTTTTTTTTTTCTTTTTACCCCTGCTCCTCCCTATGCCCAGCATATTTGAGACGGCATCAAATCTATCCACATAGATACTATCAAGAGAAACTAATGTTTTCCTTTATCATTTAACATCTTAGCCTATGACCTTTCAAAAGTATAGCACATGGTTATAAAATTCTGTCTTTTTAAAAACAGATTAACTTTGTGACTTTAGACATTTTTATTAATTTATTTCTACTGCATATTTCTCTGGATGACCCTCTGATATAAAAGCAAGAATCTCATGGCACATAATTGATTTACAGCACTGAGTTTTGGAATGGTTTGTTATTCAGTAAGAGCTGACTGATACAAGTGGATAGGTAAGCAGTTAGGTCAATAGATAGGTAGATAGAAAAATAGATGCCCATGAGGACAGGGCTTTCATTTGTCTTAGTCAGCACTACATCTTCCTCTTCTACTGGAATACTGCCTGATACATTTTGATGAGTGAAATAGTCACTAAATGAATGAATATATTGATTATAAATATTTAAATCCAGCATATTTTACTTAACTTTGCTCTAGAAACAGTTAACAATATCATTAAAAATCCTTGCAAAATTTTTCCCAGGGGCTTCCTATGAATATATCATAATTTCCCTTACAGTCTATTGGCAAGAAACATTATTTGGCTTCTAATTTGATTTTATTATAATAGTACTGTGGTTAATATTTTTATCCCTGCATGAAATCCTGAATCTCTAAATATTTTTATTTGGAATCTGTTAATAAAGGATACATTTTAGGTCAAAGGATCTACATGCACATACATACACACTCCACACATACATAAAAAATTCCAAAGATATCACATATATGTTATTGTACTACAAATATTTCATGTCATGTATACACAAGAGGGCATTCAATCTTTTTATGTAAGTATTATCTGGAACAACTTATATTTTCATGTATGATTTAACATCTTAACCAATGTCCTTTTAAAACTATAGTGCATGATCATAAAATTCTTTAGTAGAGATTAACTGTGATTTTGGGCATTTTAATTAATTTATTTCCTCTAGAGATTTATTCACCTACAAGATAAGAATGACAATAATAATGCTTATTTCATGGTTTTGTTTCTATGATTAAATGTGTTAACTGATCTAAGGTGCTTAGCATAGTGACTGAAACATAATATTAGTTTTATTAATCAAGGGTTGAATATTTGAAATAGTAGTTTTAATAAACATGGGATAATAGTCTCGTATTTGTCCATTTTCATTCTGCTTATAAAGACATACCTGAGACTGGGAAATTTACAAAAGAAAGAGGTTTAATTGGACTTATAGTTCCACGTGGCTGGAGAAGGTCTCACAATCATGGTGGAGGATGAAAAGCACTTCTTACATGGCAGTGGCAAGAGAGAATGAGAAGGAGGCAAAGTGGAAACTGATAATAAACCCATCAGATCTTGTGAGACTTATTCACTATCACAAGAATAGCATGGGAAAGACCGGCCCCCATGACTCAATAACCTCCCACTGCGACCCTCCCACAACACATGGGAATTCTGGGAGATACGATACATGTTGAGATTTGGGCAGGGACAGAACCAAACCATATCATTCCACCACAGCCCCTCCCAAATCTCATGTCCTCACATTTCAATGCCAATCATGCCTTCCTGACAGTTCCCCAAAGTCTCATCTGAGACAATGCAAGTCCCTTCTGCCTATGAGTCTGTAAAATCAAAAGCAAGTTAGTTACTTCCTAGATACAATATGGGTACAGGCATTTCATAAATACAGCCATTCCAAATGGGAAAATTGGCCAAAACAAAGGGGCTACAGGCCTCATGCAAGTATGAAATACAGCAGGGCAGTCAAATTTTAGAGTTCCAGAATGATGTCCTTTGACTCCATGTCTTGCATCCAGGTCACGCTGCTGATGCAAGAGGTGGATTCCCATGGCCTTGGGCAACTCCACCCCTGTGGCTTTGCAGAGTTCAGCCTCTCTCTCAGCTGCTTTCACGGCTGGGCATTGAGTGTCTGTGGCTTTTCCAGGTGCACAGTGCAAGCTGTGGGTGGCTCTACCAATCTGGGTTCTGGAGGATGGTTGCCCTCTTCTCACAGCTCCACTAGGCAGTCCCCCATTAGGGACTCTGTGTGGGGGCTCTGACACCACATTTCCCTTCTGCTGCCCTAGCAGGGGTTCCACATGAGGGCCCTGCCCCTGCAGCAAACTTTTATTTGGGCATCTAGGTGCTTCCATACATCTTCTGAAATCTAGGAGGAAGTTCCCAAACCTCAATTCTTGACTTCTGCGCACTCACAGGCTCAGCACCACGGGGAAGCTGCCGAGGCTTGGGTCTTGCACCCTCTGAAGCCATGGCCTAAGCTCTGTGTTGACCCCTTTCAGCCATGGCTGGAGTGGCTGGGACACAGGGCACCAAGTCCCTAGGTTGCACACAGCACAGGGACCCTTGGTCCAGCCCACAAAACCACTTTTTCCTCCTGGGCCTTCAGGCCTGTGATGGGAGGGGCTGCTGCAAAGGTCTCTGACATGGCCTGGAGACATTTCTCCCATAGTCTTAGGGATTAACATTCGGCTCCTTGCTACTTAGGCAAATTTCTGCAGCCAGCTTAAATTTCTCCCCAGAAAATGGGTTTTTCTTTTCTACTTCATTGTCAGGGTGCAATTTTTTTGAACTTTAATGCTCTGTATCCTTTTTAAAACAGAATGCTTTTAACAACACCCAAGTCATCTCTTGAATGCTTTGCTGCTTAGAAATTTCTTGCACCAGGTACCCTAAACTGGTATCTTTTGTGCCCTAACTGGCACAATACAGGGATGCCCTCTCTGAACACTCCTATTCAACATAGTGTTGGAAGTTCTGGCCAGGGCAATCAGGCAGGAGAAAGAAATAAAGGGTATTCAATTAGGAAAAGAGGAAGACATATTGTCCCTGTTTGCAGATGACATGATTGTATATTTAGAAAACCCCATCATCTAGGCCAAAAATCTCCTTAAGCTGATAAGCAATTTCAGCAAAGTCTCGGGATACAAAATCAATGTTCAAAATTCAGAAGCATTCCTATACACCAATAACAGACAAACAAAGAGCAAAATCATGAGGGAACTCCCATTCACAATTACTACAAAGAGAATAAAATACCCAGGAATCCAAATTACAAGGGATGTGAAGGACCTCTTAAGGGAGAACTACAAACCACTGCTCAATGAAATAAAAGAGGACAAAAATAAATTAAATAAAATTTCATGCTTATGGATAGGAAGAATCAATATCATGAAAATGGCCATACTGCCCAAAGTAATTTACAGATTCAATGCTATCCCCATCAAGCTACCAATGACTTTCTTCACAGAATTGGAAAAAAACACTTTAAAGTTCATATGCAACCAAAAAAGAGCCCACATTGCCAAGACAATCCTAAGCCAAAAGAACAAAGCTGGAGGCATCACGCTACCTGACTTCAAACTATACTGCAAGCCTACAGTAACCAAAACAGCACAGTACTGGTACCAAAACAGATATATAGAACAATAGAACAGAACAGAGGCCTCAGAAATAACACCACACATCTACAACCATCTGATCTTTGACAAACCTGACAAAAGCAAGAAATGGGGAAAGGATTCCATATTAAATAAATGGTGCTGGGGGAACTGGCCAACTATATGTAGAAAGCTGACACTGGATCCCTTCCTTACAGGGTATACAAAAAGTAAGTCAAGATGGATTAAAGACTTAAATGTTAGACCTAAAACCATAAAAACCCTAGAAGAAAACCTAGGCAATACCATTCAGGACATAGGCATGGGGAAAGACTTCATGTCTAAAACACCAAAAGCAATGGCAACAAAAGCCAAAATAGACAAATGGGATCTAATTAAACTAAAGAGCTTCTGCACAGCAAAATAAACTATCATCAGAGTGAACAGGCAACCTACAGAATAGGAGAAAATTTTTGCAATCTACCCATCTGACAAATGGCTAATATCCAGAATCTACAAAGAACTCAAACAAATTTACAAAAAACAAACAAACAAACAAACAAAAAACAATTCCATCAAAAAGTGGCAAAGGATATGAACAGACATTTCTCAAAAGAAGATATTTATGCAGACAACAGACATATGAAAAATGTTCATCATTACTAGTCATCAAAGAAATGCAAATCAAAACCACAATGAGATACCATCTCATTCCAGTTAGAATGGCGATCATTAAAAAGTCAGGAAACAACAGATGTTGGAGAGGATGTGGAGAAACAGGAGCGGTTTTACCCTGTTCTTGTGAGTGTAAACTAGTTCAACCATTGTGGAAGATAGTGCGGTGGTTCCTCAGGATCTAGAACTAGAAATACCATTTGACCCACCAATCCCATTACTGTGCATATACCCAAAGGATTATAAATCATTCTACAATAAAGACACATGCACACATAAGTTTATTGCAGCACTATTCACAATAGCAAAGACTTGGAACCAACCCAAATGTCCATCAATGATAGACTGGATTAAGAAAATGTGGTACAAATACATCATGGAATACTATGCAGCCATAAAAAAGGATTAGTTCATGTCCTTTTCAGGGACGTGGATGAAGCTGGAAACTATCATTCTAAGCAAACTATCACAAGGACAGAAAACCAAACCTCATATGTTCTCACTCATAAGTGGGTTTTGAACAATGAGAACACATGGACACAGGGCGGGGAACATCACACACCAGGGCCAGTCAGGGGTGGAGGCCTGGGGGAAGGATAGCATTAGGAGAATTACCTAATGTAAATGACAAGTTGATGGGTGCAGCAAACCAAAGTGGCACATGTATACCTATGTAACAAACATCCACATTGTGCACATGTACCCTAGAACTTAAAATATAATAAAAAATTTAAAAAATAAAAAAAACAAAGACAGTGAGATATAAGAAAAAAACAAATACATAATACAAAGATGTCAGGGAAACACTTGATTATCTGAATAAGTAATTCAAGAAAGAGATAGATGTGATAAAATAATAACCACACAGAAATCCTGGAACTGAAGAATTCAATGAATGAAATAAAAATATAATCCAGAGCTTCAACAATGAACCAGATCAAGCAGGAGAAAGGACTTCTGAATTTGAAATAACTCAGCAGAAAAACAAAGAAACAAACAAAAGCATTCAGGAAAAAAATAATAACAAAAGCCTATGTGACTTGTGAGACACCATAAAATGACCAAATATTTGAATTTAGGGAATTCCAGAAGGAGAAGAGATTGGCAAAAGCATAGCAAACCTATTTCATAAAATAATAGCTGAAAACTTCCTAAATCTTTTAAGAGATTGTAGACATCCAGCTATAGAATTAAAAACAGCAAAATGTCAAGTCACCTATAAGAAAATCGCTAATAAAGTACCAACAGATTTATCAGCAGAAAACTTACAGTGCAGGAGAAAATGGAATGCTGTATTTCAAAGTGCTGAAAGAAAAAAAAAATTGTCAATCAAGAATACCATACACAGAAAAGCTATCCTTCAAAAATAAAGGAGAAATAAAATCTTTACCAGACAATAATAAAAAAGAGGGAATTCATCACCTCTAAAACAACCATACAAGAAATTCATAAGGAATTCCTACATCTGGAAGCCAAACCACAAATCTACCATCATGAAAAAAGGAGAAAATATAAAACTCATTGGTAGAGCAGACACACAAATGAGAAAGAGAAAGGTGTCAAAAGTTACCACTACAGAAAACCACCAAACTGCAGTTATTTTCACAGAATTAGAAAAAACAATCCTGCAATACATATGATACCATAAAATACCCTTAGTAGCCAAAGTAATTCTGCCAAAAATGAACAACATTGGAGGCATAACACTATGTAACTTCATATTACAAAGCCATGGTAACCAAAATAGTATAGTGCTGGCCAAAAAACAAACAAAAACAAAACAAAACAAAACAAAAAAAAAACCAGATACATAGACCAATGGATTAGAAAGAGCACCCAGAAATAAATCCACACATTTACAGACAATGCATTTTCAGCAAAGGAGCCAAGAATATACATTGGGAAAAGGACTGTGTCTTCAATAAATGGTACAGGGAAAATTGGATATCCATATGCAGAAGAATAAAACAAGTCCCTTGTAGGGAGACCCCCCTGAAACTATTGCTACGGAGTGGAAGATGAAATGCTCCTGATTATTTTAAGTACAAAATTGTATGCAAGATTGTGTAAAGACAATGCCAGGTTGGACTGCCAGAATGAGCCAACAGCGTATGATGTGCTTTCCCCTGAAAAGAGCCTATGAATGAACATGCAGTCGGGGAGGTTTCACATCACCAAGATTCCTATCCCAGAAAAGCAGATATTCATAGCTCTGGGAATGGAATGAGACCCTTGTGGAGAGCCTATAAATGGATGCATGAGGGGTGCCTGTTCATATGGATAAGATAGGGCTATAAATGCCATCATCTTGCCACAGCTCTTCTAGGCCTCCTTAGGGTTAAGGCATACACCCTTCTGAGAATTTCTGGTCTAACCCGTTGTCTAGCTTTATGTCCTGTTTCTATGGATTGTTTGTAACCAGCTTTTGCTGCACTGTTACTGCTGATTAATATCTTGCTAATCATAGGTTATGGAAAGACTGTGTTTCTGTTTTAAGGCTCTGTTAGAAATTACTGATGCACACGCTCTATTGTAAATTCTTATCTCTGTATACTGTACTTCTGCATACAGATGTTATGTTAAAGAATTACTTCATCCCCATGTGACCATTTCACCTCATAATCAAACAACACTAAATCCCTCACTAACTTACCCCCGCCCTCACTAAACTTAATAATAAATGCTGGCATATCCAGTGCATTGGCAGCATCACGGGACCAGAAGACGATGACACCCCTGGACCCAGTTTTCACTATTTTGTGTGTGTCTTTTATTTCTCGACCTGCTGATCCACCTGGGAACAAAGAAAGAGTCCCGTTGCATTGCGGGCTGCTGGCCAGATCCCACAATAGTCCCTTATCTCTCACTATATGCAAAAATCAACTCAAAATATCAGACCTCAAACCATGAAACTACTGGAAGAAAACTGTGGAAAAACACTTCAGAACATTGATCTGGGTGAAGATGTTTTTTAGTAAGATCTCAAAAACAGAGTCAACTGAAAAAAATAAGCAAATTAAAAAGGTTCTTCATATCAAAAGTGACAGTCAGCAGAGGAAAGAGACAACTTGTTGAATGGGTGAAAGTATTTGCAAGCTATCCATTCAATAAGGGACTAATATCCAAAATATACAAAGAATAGAGACAATTGAATAGAAAAAAAAATTCCAAAAATTGGACAAAGCCCATGTGAATACACATTTTTCAGAAGATGTACAAATGGCCAAAATATATATAAAAAAATGCTCAGTATCACTAACCATCATGGAAATGCAAAACAAAACCCTAATGAGATATCATCTCTCTCCAGTTAAAATGACTATTACCAAAAAGACAGACAATAGCAAATGTTGCCAAGAATATCAAGTAAAGGGAACTCATACATTGTTGGTGAGAATGAGAATTAGTACAGACATTATGAAGAAAAGTTTGGAGGTTTCTCAAAAAACTAAAAGTAAACAATTATATCTTCCAGCAATCTCAGTACTGGGTATTTCTCCAAAGGAACAGAATTAGTAAATCAAAAGGTTACCTGTACCTCCATATTTATTGCAGCATTATTCACAATAGCCAAGGTATAGAATCAACTTATGTCCATTACCAGTTAAATGGATAAATAAAATGTGGCATATGTGCACAATTACATACTATTCAGCCATTAAAAAGAATAAAATCCAATCATTTGCCACAATATGAATGGAACTGGAAGTCATATTATTAAGTGAGTTAACCCAGGTACAGAAAGACAAATATCATATATTCTCACTCATGTATATAGGAGCTAAATATTTGATCCCATGGAAGTGGAGTAGAAGAGCTTCCAGTGGCTGAGTAGGGCCAGGGAGAATGAAGAGCGGGTACATAATGTGCACAAACATACAACCAGACAGAGGGAATATGTTCTAGTGTTCAAAAGTACAGTACTGTGACTATAGTTAACAACAATTTATTTTATATTTCAATATAGCTAGAAGAGAAAATTTGAATTTTTCTCAACCCAAATATATGGTAAATGCTTGAGGTGATGGATATCCTACATACCCTAGTTTGCTCATTACACATTGTATACATGTATCAAAATGTCATTGTATTCCATAAGTATGTACAATCATGTATCAATTAAAATTTTTTTAAATTAGATTGGCCAAAAAGATAATAACAGGAGAAAAACAGACAAAAGTTTATTAACACATACATTGTGCATATACATGAGGACATTCAGTGATGAGTAACTTCATGGCATGGTTAGAACTTGAGCTTATATAGCATTTTAGCAGAGAACAATAATTTGTACAAAAATGACAAGAAAAAGAAGATGACTTGGAGCTTCTAGATGTGGCAAATTGTGGGAAGGTAAATATTTTGGAGAGCCAATGTTAGACAAGGGCTGGTTAGTAAGGTTTGTTAAATAGATTCCTCTATATAATCCTCTGTATGCCATCTTTTGGCTGATAAGCATCTAGAGTTGCCTCTAGCGATTAACTTCATCTTTCCTGGTAGAGAGTGATGAGAAGATACCTTTACAAATTTATGTATTGCTTTTGGCACAAAGGGGAAGGCAGAAAAGTTTTTTCTGTATCAGCTTCATCTTAATTGCCTGTAGCTCAAAATAAATCTTATGCCAAAGTAGTGTATTTTGGGGTGCCATATTCTGTTACATTTTACACGCGAATAAACATAAAATTTGTGTTTATTTTCAAATATGTATTCTAGGCTAGCTACATTGCATAGTACAGTGCTTTGTAGGTACTAAATGTGCAATAAATAGGTATTGAGTAAATGAATGCATAATATTTTATTATTTCTCTATTTAATCTCTACTTCTGCCCCATCTGTAGAAAGAGAATGTTCCTTTATTTGACATGAAATAATACAATTTGGGTTAGCAAGCATTGAAACCTGTGCATTTTCAACACATCTATAATGGGTCAATCAATATTGTAAAATGGAGAGCCTGAATTTGAAAGCTCAGTCATATCATCTGTGAGTGGGGTGAACTCTTAACTTTTTCAACTTCAGTAAAATTGTGATGTTATGGTTATATTTGTCTGACAAGATTAGTGTGAAGATTAAATGAGATAGTGTAGTTAAGCAGCCCTTGCTAAATGATAAACATGTACTAACTTTAACTGCTATTGAAAAAGTAATAATAGGAGATAAAACTTTCAAATCAAGTACTCATAATAGCATGAAGATTCTTCAAAATGGAGGAGAGTGAAAAGTTCAGGAAGAATCTATAATGTCTAAAAATGAAGGCTACTTTAACATGTTATGACAGTTTTATAAAGGGAATGTAATTGAGGCATTACAAAGAATGAGGCAGATATTTTCATACCAATATAGAAGTATTCTGAAGGCAAATTAAGTGAAAAAAATGAAACAGAATTGTATGTGTGATATATGATCTTTTTTGAGATGGATTTATGTCTGTTTGTAAATATATGTTTACTTGTGTATGCATGTTTTGAAGAATATTTAAGCAATTGATTTTATATATATATAAAATATATTTCATTCTGGGCAAAAATGTGGTTGGTTAGAAAAGGAGGAAGAATAATAATTTCTTTTACTATATATTTTGAACGTGTACACTGTTGTCTAGTGGTTAGCTACACATAAGGCTGAATAACAAACCACTCCTAAATTTAATGGCTTAAATCAATGATCATTTATTCTATTTCAGGTACCTCTGGTTTGGCTGCAGTTCAATTGATCTAAGCTGGGCAGAGTTAGGCTTGAGTCCAAGATTCAGGTTGGGTTTAAGTATATTCCCCGTGTTTTTTTTTTTTATTTTTCGTAGACAGCCAGGCTAGCCAGCACATTATCTGCCTGTGGTGATGCCAGAAACATGAATCAATACCTCATCGTGCCAGTAAGCTTCAGGTGTTTGCTTGTGTCACACCAGTAAATATTTATTTGATTAAAGCAAGTGACATGACAAAGCCTAAAATTTCAGAGATTTAATCTACTCACCATAACATAAAATAAAGTTACATGGCCAAAATCAGCACCTGTTGGGAGGAGAAATGTAGTTCTACTCTCAATCACGTGGAGGAGGAAATGATTAGTATCCTAAGCAATCATTCACCATATTTATGACTGCATTACCTATTCAAAATATATGTAAAGGAGAATCCACAAGAAAACAAAACAAAAGGGGTGGAAAAGTGTGCATCTATAGGTTAAGCACAAGAAAGATAATACACCTAATGACAGCAGTATCAGAATAAAGATTCATTATGTAGTTTTTCCAGAGATGAGGAAAGCATATTATTTAACAAACTCACCATATATGGACATTATCCAAGTATCGAGGATAATCTAAAGAGAAAATTAAAAAAGAAGGGATGTTAACTTTGAAGATCCACTGTTTTCTTCCTCTGATCTTACAGAGAAAATTAACTCTCACTAATACACAGCTACAGAATGATTTTTGTCCTTATTTCTTTAGCATATCATTTATCATGTAAACCATTTTCAGCCTGTTTTTTGTACGGAGTTCATTTATTTATTTCATGTTTCTATAGTTGGACATGTTCTAATGTCCAAATTTGCATTTGTTTATTCCTGTTCTGTTTGCAATTAAAAACAAAGTAAGAGCAATAGAGACCTCTGTAGTTTTCAGACAATTTTGTGTTATTTTTCTTCCACTGTGTATTTATTAGTCTTTATTAAAGATTAAACAAATGATGGATTCATTTCAAAAGTACCTTGATTTTCAGTATTTTAAAGTTTATATATTAGAATTAAAAAATCAGTCAATTACATCAATGCCGTTATAGTATTTACCATCAGTCTGGGAAATTTGTTTTTCCTGAAGGGAGTTTGAACAAATTTTCTCCTGAAAGCATGTTATGCTGAAGGAGCTCTCTCCTCTGTAGCAACTCTATCAGAGGGGACAGAAAATTACTTTGTTTAAAGATCCAGAATAGGACACATGATGCTAATCTTTGCTCTACCTTGACCAAGTCGCTTAGGTTATCTTTACTGCAGCCTTGTCTGCTAAATGAAGATAAGAAACTTTCTGTCCCTTCCTTAATTTTATATAAAATTATTTTTTAAATGTGGTACCTCCAGAAGGGAGTCCATATGGCAACCACTTTACCACAGTAGATGACCCAGATTTAAAGCATTAAATAGATAAGTAGAAGAGAAAAGGTAAACCATGCTACCCATGGTGCAGCACAAATTTGTTGGCAAAATCTGGTGGCCATATGGACTTCTGTAAAGCTGTCAAAAGTCTAAGTAGAAGATAAGAAAGAGCCACTATGCCCATGATACAGGCACAAATCATTCAAAACCTGTTTGACCACATACGCAGAAAGGACTAAATAATAAATGAACTATCTTTTGGAGTTTGAATACACTAGATCCAATTTAAAAAATACACTAGATTCAATACACTAGATCCAATCTGTAGTCCCTCAATATATCTGCCTATTCCCGTATCAGCCAACAAGAGGAAAATAGTCACCCGCAATGGAAATTTACAAGAGGGATGTATCAAATACAAATTTTATCAGAGAGAGTTCAGAGGCAAGGAAGATTTTATTCAAGACTATTGCAATAGAGAGGAGAGATTGAACTCAACTCTGTGGAAACAAAAGACAGGAGGGTTTTAAGCAATAGGTGATCTGGTAGAAAAATACTGGAAAATTTTAATGGGAGGTTGATCAATGTGTTTAGGCTGTGTTTGCTAATTATACTTTATTGAAATTAGGTTCCTACCCTCCTACTGAGACTAGGAGATGGGTATTATCTTTCTTGATCATTGCGTTTCAAAGGAATGGCTTGACGAAAGTCCTTCAGAAAGACATTTCTGTGTTGTAAAATTGTCAAGAGTCTGGGAGAAGATTTACATTTCAAAGAAGCAGAGGTAGAATTAATAATTACAAGTTTTGTGAAGTAGATGCTCTAAAAAAGCAGATCAGGGACCTATAATCAGGAACAAAAAAAACCCCTCTACAAAGTTCAGACAAGCTAAAGAGAATATTAAGGCTGCTTTGGTCAGATGATAGGGTTAGTTTGATTAATAAAACAGGATGGAAGAAATCAAGGAAGACTGAGGGTAAAGAATGGAATTAACTCATTTGATTATTTATTTATTAATTTTATTTGTTATTATACTTTAAGATCTAGGGTACATGTGCACAATGTGCAAGTTTGATACATAGGTATACATGTGCCATGTTGGTTTGCTGCACCCATCAACTCATCATTTACATTAGGGATTTCTCCTAATGCTATCCCTCCCCCAGGCCCCCATCCCCCAACAGGCCCTGGTGAGTGATGTTCCCCGCCCTGTGTCCAAGTGATCTCATTGTTCAATTCCCACCTATGAGTGAGAACATGCGGTGTTTGGTTTTCTGTCCTTGTGATAGTTTACTGAGAGTGATGGTTTCCAGCTTCATCCATGTCCCTACATAGGACATGCACTTATCCTTTTTTATGGCTGCATAGTATTCCGTGGTGTATATGTGCCACATTTTCTTAATCCAGTCTATCATTCATGGACATTTGGGTTGGTTCCAAGTCTTTGCTGTTGTGAATAGTGCTGCAATAAACATACATGTGCATGTGTCTTTCTAGTAGCATCATTTATAATCCCTGGGGTATACCCAGTAATGGGATTACTCAGTCAAATGGTAATTCTAGTTCTAGTTCTTTGAGGAATTGCCACACTGTCTTCCACAATGGTTGAACTAATTTACACTCCCACTGACAGTGTAAAAGCATTCCTATTTCTCCACATCCTCTCTAGCATCTGCTGTTTCCTGACTTTTTAATGATTGTCATTCTAACTGGCATGAGATGGTATCTCATTGTGGATTTGATTTGCATTTCTCTGATGACCAGTGGTGATGAGCATTTTTTCATGTGTCTGTTGGCATCATAGATGTCTTCTTTTGAGAAGTGTCTGTTCATATCATTTGCCTACTATTTGATGGGATTGTTTGTTTTTTTCTTGTAAAAATTTCTTTGAGTTCTTTGTGGATTCTGGATATTAGCCATTTGTCAGATGGGTAGATTGCAAAAATTTTCTCCCATTCTGTTGGTTGCCTGTTCACTGTGATGATAGTTTCTTTTACTGTGCAGAAGCTCTTTAGTTTAATTAGATCCCATTTGTCTATTTTGGCTTTTGTTGCCATTGCTTTTGGTGTTCTAGACATGAAGTCCTTCCCCATGCCTATGTCCTGAATGGTATTGCCTAGGTTTTCTTCTAGGGTTTTTATGGTTTTAGGTCTAACATTTAAGTCTTTAATCCATCTTGACTTAATTTTTGTATAAGGTGTAAGGAAGGGATCCAGTTTCAGTTTTCTACATATAGCTAGCCAGTTTTCCCAGCACCACTTATTAAATAGGGAATCCTTTCCCCATTTCTTGTTTTTGTCAGGTTTGTCAAAGATCAGATGGTTGTAGATGTGTGGTGTTATTTCTGAGGCCGCTGTTCTGTTCTATTGTTCTATATATCTGTTTTGGTACCAGTACCATACAGTTTTGGTTACTATAGCATTGTAGTATAGTTTAAAGTCAGGTAGTGTGATGCCTCCAGCTTTGTTCTTTTGGCTTAGGATTGTCTTGGCAATGCAGGCTACTTTTTGGTTACATATGAACTTTAAAGTAGTTTTTTCCAATTCTGTGAAGAAAGTCATTGGTGGCTTGATGGGGATGGCATTGGATATATAAATTACTTTGGGCAGTATGGCCATTTTCACGATATTGATTCTTCCTAGCCATGAGCATGGAATATTCTTCCATTTGTTTGTGTCCTCTTTTATTTCATAGAGCAGTGGTTTGTAGTTCTCCTTGAAGAGGTCCTTCACATCCCTTGTAAGTTGGATTCCTAGGTATTTTTTTCTCTTTGAAGCAATTGTGAATGGGAGTTTACTCATGATTTGGCTCTCTGTTTGTCTGTTATTCATGTATAGGAATGCTTGTGATTTTTGCACTTGATTTTGTATCCTGAGACTTTGCTGAAGTTGCTTATCAGCTTAAGGATATTTTGGGCTGAGATGATGGGGTTTTCTAAGGATACAATCATGTCATCTGCAAACAGGGACAATTTGACTTCCTGTTTTCCTAATTGAATACCTTTGTTTCTTTCTCTTGCCTGATTGCCCTGGCTAGAAATGCCAACACTATGTTGAATAGGAGTGGTGAGAGAGGGCATCCTTGTCTTGTGCCGGTTTTCAAAGGGAATGCTTCCACTTGTTGCCCATTCAATATGATATTGGCTGTGGGTTTGTCATAAATAGCTCTTCTTATTTTGAGATACATTGCATCAATACCTAGTTTATTGAGAGTTTTTAACATGAAGGGCTGTTGAATTTTGTCGAAGGCCTTTTCTGCATCTGTTGAGATTATCATGTGGTTTCTGTCATTGGGCCTGTTTATGTGATGGATTACATTTATTGATTTGTGTATGTTGAACCAGCCTTGCATCCGATGGATGAAGCCGACTTCATCGTATTGGATAAGCTTTTTGATGCACTGCTGGATTTGGTTTGCCAGTATTTTATTAAGGATTTTCGCACTGATGTTCATCAGGGATATTGGTCCAAAATTCTCTTTTTTGTTGTGTCTCTGCCAGGCTTTGGTCTCAGGATGATGTTGGCCTCGTAACATAAGTTAGGGAGGATTCCCTCTTTTTCTATTAATTGGAATAGTTTCAGAAGGCATGGTACCAGCTCCTCTTTATACCTCTGGTAGAATCGGCTGTTAATCTGTCTGTTCCTGGACTTTTTTTGGTTGTTAGGCTATTAATTATTGCCTCTATTTCAGAGCCTGTTATTGGTCTATTCAGAGACTCAACTTCTTCCTGGTTTAGTCTTGGGAGGGTGTATGTGTCCAGGAATTTCTCCATTTCTTCTAGATTTTCTAGTTTATTTGCATGGAAGTGTTTATAGTATTCTCTCACGGTAGTTTGTATTTCTGTGGGATTAGTGGTGATATCCTCTTTATCATTTTTTATTGTGTCTATTGATTCTTCCCTCTTTTCTTCTTTATTAGTCTTGCTAGCACTCTATCTATTTTGTTGATCTTTTCAAAAAACCAGCTCCTGGTTTCCTTGATTTTTTGAAGGATTTTTATGTCTCTATCTCTTTTAGTTCTGCTCTGATCTTAGTTATTTCTTGCCTTCTGCTAGCTTTTGAATTTGTTTGCTCTTGCTTCTATACTTCTTTTAATTGTGATGTTAAGTTGTCAATTTTAGATCCTTCCTGCTTTCTCTTGTGGGCATTTAGTGCTATAAATTTCCCTTGACACTCTGCTTTAAATGTGTCCCAGATATTTTGGTACGTTGTGTCTTTGTTCTCATTGGTTTCAAAGAACATCCTTATTTCTGCCTTCATTTCATTATTTACTCAGTATTCTTTTAGGAGCAACTTGTTCAGTTTCCATGTAGTTGTGTGGTTTTGAGAGATTTTATTAATCCTGAGTTCTAATTTGATTGCACTGTGGTGTGAGAGACAGTTTGTTGTGGTTTCTGTTCTTTTATATTTGCTGAGGAGTGCTTTACTTCCAATTGTGTGGTCAGTTTTAGAATATGTGTGATGTGGTGCTGAGAAGAATGAATATTCTGTTGATTTGTGGTGGAGCGTTCTGTAGATGTCTATTAGGTCTGCTTGTTGCAGAGCTGAGTTCAGGTCCTGGATATCCTTGTTAACCTTTTGTCTTGTTTATCTGTCTAATATGGACAGTGGGGTGTTAAAGTCTCCCATTATTATTGTGTGGGAGTCTCAGTCTCTTTGTAGGTCTCTAAGGACTTGCTTTATGAATCTGGGTGCTCCTGTATTGGGTTCATATATATTTAGGATAGTTAGCTCTTCTTGTTGAATTAATCACTTTACCATTATGTAATGGCCTTCTTTGTCTCTTTTGATCTTTGTTGGTCTAAAGTCTGTTTTATCAGAGACTAGGATTGCAACCTCTGCTTTTTTTGCTTTCCATTTGCTTGGTAAATCTTCCTCCATCTCTTTATTTTGAGGCTATGTGCATCTTTGCACGTGAGATTGTTCTCCTGAATATAGCACACTGATGGGTCTTGACTCCTTATCCAATTTCCCAGTCTGTGTCTTTTAATTGGGGGCATTTAGCCCATTTACATTTAAGGTTAATAATATTATGTGTGAATTTTATACTATCATTATGATGTTTGCTGGTTATTTTGCCTGTTAATTGATGCAGTTTCTTCCTAGCATTGGTGGTCTTTACAATTTGGCATGTTTTTGCAGTGGCTGGTACTGGTTGTTTCTTTCCATGTTTAGTGCTTCCTTCTGGAGCCCTTTTAAGGCACGCCTGGTGGTGACAGAATCTCTCAGTATTTGCTTACCTTTAAAGGATTTTATTTTCCTTCACTTATGAAGCTTAGTCTGGCTGGATATGAAATTATGGGTTGAAAATTCTTTTCTTTAAGGATGTTGAATATTGGCCCCCCCTCTCTTCTGGCTTGTAGGGTTTCTCCTGATAGAGCCCCTGTTAGTCTGATGGGCTTCCCTTTGTGGGTAACTCGACCTTTCTCTCTGGTTGCTCTTAACACTTTTTCCTTCATTTCCACCTTGTTGAATCTGACAATCATGTCTTGGCATTGACCTTTTCGAGGAGTATCTTTGTGGTGTTCTGTGTATTTCCTGAATTTGAATGTTGGCCTAGGTTAGGGAATGTAGCTAGGTTAGGGAAGTTCTTCTGGACAATATCCTGAAGAGTGTTCTCCAACTTGGTTCCATTCTCCCCATTGTTTTCATGTACACCACTCAAACGTAGATTTGGTCTTTTCCCATAGTCCCATACTTCTTGGAGGCTTTGTTTGTTTCTTTTCACTTTTTTTCTCTAACCTTGTTTTCTCACTTTATTTCATAAATTTGATCTTCAATCACTGATACCCTTTCTTCCACTTGATCGAATTGGCTATTGCAGCTTGTGCATGTGTCACGAAGTTCTCGTGCCATTGTTTTCAGCTCCATCAGGTCATTTAAGGTCTTCTCTACACTGTTTATAGTACTTAGCCATTCATCTAATCTTTTTTCAAGGTTTTTAGCTTCCTTGCAATGGGTTCAAACATCCTCCTTTGGCTCAGAGAAGTTTGTTATTACTGACCTTCTGAAGCCTACTTCTGTCAACTCTTCAAAGTCATTCTCTGTCCAGCTTTGTTCCGTTGCTGGTGAGGAGCTGCAATCCTTTGGAGGAGAATAAGTGCTCTGCTTTTTAGAATTTTCAGCTTTTCTGCTCTGGTTTCTCCCCATCTTTGTGGTTTTTATCTACCTTTGGTCTTTGATGTTGATGACCTACACTGTCACAAAGGTGTTTTGTTGTAGATGTCCTTTTTGTAGATGTTGATGCTATTCCTTTCTGTTTGTTAGTTTTCCTTCTAACAGTCAGGTCCCTCAGCTGCAGGTCCCTCAGCTGCAGGTCTGTTGGAGTTTACTGGAGTTCCACTCCAGACCCTGTTTGCCAGGGTATCACCAGTGGAGGCTGCCCAACAGCAAATATTGCAGAACAGTAAATATTGCTGCCTGATCCTTCCTCTGGAAGCTTTGTCCCAGAGAGGCAGCTGCCTATATGAGGTGTCTGTCCGCTCCAACTGGCAGGTGTCTCCCAGTTTGGCTGCACGGGGCTCAGGGACCCACTTGAGGCAGCAGTCTGTCTGTCCTCAGAGCTCAAACGCCCTGCTGGGAGAATGACTACTCTCTTCAGAGCTGTCAGACAGGGACGTTTAAGTCTGCAGAAGTTGCCTGCTTTTCTGTTCTGCTATGCCCTGCCCGCAGAGGTGGAGTGTAGAGGTAGTTGGCCTTGTTGAGCTGCAGTGGGTTCTGCCCAGTTCGACCTTCCAGCTGCTTTGTTTACCTACTCAAGCCTTGGCAATGGCATATGCTCCTCCCCCTGCCAGGCTGCCACCTCGCAGATTGAACTCAGCCTGCTGTACTAGCAGTGAGCAAGACTCCGTGAGTGCGGAACCTGCTAAGCCAGGAACTGGAGAGAATCACCTCGTCTGTCGGTTGCTAAGACTTTGGGAAAAGCATCGTATTTGGGCGAGAGTGCCCCGTTTTTCCAGGTAGTCTGTCACAGCTTCCCTTTGCTAGGAAAGGGAAATCCCCTGACCCCTTGTGCTTCCCTGCCCTGCTTCGGCTCACCCTTTGTGGGCTGCACCCACTGTCCAACCAGTCCCAATGAGATGAACCAAGTACCCCAGTTGGAAATGCAGAAATCACCTTTCTTCTGCATTGATCACGCTGGGAGCTGTAGACTGGAGCTGTTCCTGTTTGGCCATCTTGAAACACCCAGCAAAACTCATCTGGTTTTTGAAATTCATTCTGTGAAATAAAATTACTCAAAGCTTAATTTGCTATATGCATGTGTCATGCATTATAAAATACAATTTGTTAAAGGAGAAGTGGTTCTCGTCTTCTGGGACTTTACTTAGTAAAAAATGTGACACATGTAAACACACACACACCCCATACTCCCTTATAACTTTAAAACCAGGTAAAACTGAATAAGAATTCTCCCACAAAATGATATAGAAGCAAAAGGAATAATGGTTTTCAAGATGACTTCATGAGGGTGGGTAGATTTTGTATAAAACTGATTTGAATTTGGTGGTAAAAATGTAGGTTAGAGTTTCCAAAAGAACTAAATTACCTTCTACAAATATTTTTGACAATAAAATTTTTAAAAGAAAAATTTTGAATGCAATTTTAAAAATTAAGTGTCTATGCCAGGCAAGGTGGCTCATGCCTGTAATCCCAGCACTCTGGGAGGCCAAGGCGGGTGGATCAACTCTGTTCGGGAGTTTGAGACCAGCCTGACCAACATAGAGAAACCCTGTCTCTACCAAAAATACAAAATTAGCCAGATGTGATGGCACATGCCTGTAATCCCAGCTACTCAGGATGCTGAGGCAGGAGAATCACTTGATCCCAGGAGGCGGAGGTTGCAGTGAGCCGAGATCAGGCCATTGCATTCCAGACTGGGCAACAAGAGCAAAACTCTGTCTCAAAAAAAAAAAAAAGAAAAAGTGTCTGTGAGGAAAATTTACTTTAGTATCATCTTTTGATTTATTTATTTTTAAAAATTCCTTGGAGTACCACATGTGTTATGCATCTGTTATCCATTGTAGATTCAAAGATAAATACTACACTATCCCCTCAAAGTACTCATAGGTGCAAGTGATAACAGTCAAAATGAACAAAAAATTACAAGAGAAAATGGTAAAAATCATAAGTAGTAACACATAAAAGGGGAGATCAAATGCCTTTGTATTACAGAAAGCTTCAAAGAAGTTAAAGCATTGAGAGGAGGACAAAAGTGATTTTGTAGCACTGTGCTGACAAAGCAAACTAGCTAAGGATGAAATTCTGTTACTTCTCCATCCTAACCCATTCTGTGGCTTTCCATCATATTTAAATTTTTAAAAATTAATTTTGTTGGTCTGCAAGTTGTCTATTTCTCCAACGTCCTACTATAACTCTTTGCTTCCATGCTACAAATTTCAAATTCACTGGCCTGCCCTCAGTTTCTAGAATGTGTCAAACATATGCCCCTGTCTGCTTTCTACACAGCTGGATTTATCTCATCCCTCCTCTCACCTGATTCATATCATAATCCCATAGGTATCTTTCCAGAACATCCTACCCAGGTATCTCCATCACTCGTTATTCTCAGTAACAACAAAGTAACTTCTCTGTTCAACTTATCATTTACTTTTATTTTAGAATTTTAACCATTAATTATTCCTTCTTCTGAAAGAGGACAGTAAAGAAATTTCACGAATAAATAAATATACAGCTATGTCTGGTGCCCACAGGGGAAACAAAAATAGGAAGCAAAGTATTAAATATAGTATAGTAACATTTGTGCTTATATTTGTAAAAAACAAAACAAAACAAAACAAAACTGGAAGGCCAAAATGAAAACTAATAAAAACGTTTGTTTATACAGGTGGCAGGGAACAGAGGGAGAGGATAAGAATGAAAGTGAGATGTTTCTGAGCATATGTTGTTATTAATTCTGACTTAAGACACGCAAGATTTGTATATATTAAAAATAAATTACATAAAAGTGCAAGTCTTAAAAATTCAGATCAAACTAAAACAAATGAACATATCAAGTTGGTGATTAACCACACAGGCAAAAATTAATAATTTCAACATGATTCAGAACATAGTATTGTGGCAGTACATCCTTAAAGGGGATAGGTACAAAGGAAACCTAAGGCAAACCTTTATTCAGCTTTATTGCTCTAGTTAGGACACCACTATGGTTGTTTAAATGTTATTTTATGTGTTGTAGAATAAAGTAAATAAAAGTTTGTATTTTTAAAATTTTTCTTGTAGGAGAAAGGAGTTAAAATTATAAAATTTTAAAAAGTTAAGGAAAAACTATAATATTGAATTTAATGTTAAGTATAAACTCATAGTTTTTGTTGCTGTTGTTGTTAAAAAATTTTCCCCATCTCTGTCCACTGAAAATGCCTAGAAGCAATGACAACTCAGTAGCTCTGAGCACTCACCTGTACACATCATGTTCTCTAAATATTATTTCTTACTAAAAGTAATTAGGGCTGCTTGGAAAAATAACTTGTTCTGGGTCTAGGGCAGGATATGTACAAAAAGATTGTGGAATAGTTTTCTGTGCTAGAAGTCAAGAAAGCTATCATAAGCTAATGTTGTTATGCCGAAAAATCACAGTGACAACTCTAAGGGGATCTTGATGCCAAAGATGTAATCATTTAAGAATAAAAAATAATAATTGTAATTAATTTTAATAATCATAAGTGGTAACTATTAATTACATATTTTATATCCACGTAGCTAAAAATAATTTTCAAAAATATAAAAAACTGAAAACGGTAAATCTTTTTATCATTGAGGATAGTGAGTACATTAGTTACTTTACTCAGAAGATCAGTAATGAAGAAAAAACATTAAATGTTTTCTTCTTTTTTTCTCTAAGAAGTGTATTTTAACTGACAGAATAACCTTGTTTGATAAAAAATTCTTTTTTATATGTGAATTCAAGTTAATATTAATACATATATTGGAAACACAGAAAGTCACCATTTTGCCACCACTACTTAATGATTATATTAAGCAAGAATAATAAACTACTTAAGAAAAACATTTTTTTAAAAAGTTGATAGGGGGTGCTTACTCTCAAAGATCATAAGTTTCAGCCCAAGGATTATTTACTGATTTCAAGATGTAAACCAACACCAACCAACCAACAATGAGTTCACAATGGAGGGAACAAGCTGCCACTTCCTGAAATAACTGGTCAATCACTAATAATGTGACAGCCAGACACTATGTGTCTCATTGTGATGCAACATGCTACCTAGAAGACCACTTCAAAAATGATTCTTCCAGAATGCTAATGTAAATCTAATCAGCCTTTAGAATTTAAAGGCTTAAAAAAGACTAAAGAAAAGTAACAACCAAATGCAATATGTAGAACTTATATGGAGCCTGATTCGAACATCAAGTATAAAGAGATATTTTTGAGAAAATTGAGAAATTTTAAAACATGAAATTAGTATTATATGATATTGAAGACTGCTGCTTTTTCAAGACATGTCCTCAAATTTATTTTACATTCCTTCCATACTAACTCTTCTCCTTGCATGTAGACAGACTTGTGGCTGCTTTCAATGACTTCTGAAATTAGGTCATTAAAAGTCATACATTCTTTGGCTAGTAATCTTGGGTTACTCACTCATGAGAGGCCAAGCTTTATCTAGGAAGTTCAACTACTCGAGACTGTCATGCTGGTGAGTATACACGTAGACACTCCATTCAACAGCCCAGATCATCCCACCTAAAGCAGGGTGCATATAAGTCAGTCTTGAATAATCTAGACTGGCTCATCACCAGGTGAGTACCATTGAGTAACCATAGAGAGCAAAAGAATCACTTAGTGGAGCACTGCCCAAATTTCTGACCCAGAGATTCATGAACATAACATGGCATTTGTTTCATAAGTATGAAATGGATGTTTTAATGGATAATAGATGACTGGAAAAATTAATTGTAAAATTTTTTGTAGGTGGGTAATGGTATTAGAGTTAGGAGAATGTATTTATTTGTGAGAAATACAAATAATGTATTTAGGAGTAAAATAATGCCTGGGATTTGTATGAAGCATATATGATTAAATAATTATAATTGTTGGATCTATGTAATGTGTATAGAATAATTTATTGTATTCTACTCTACTCTTTTTTTGTGTGAAGAGTTTCTTTTTTGTTGTTTGAAGGACTCACAGGGACATGAGTAAAGATTTCTGTTAGAAAATTAAAGTGAGTAGGGGAAGACTATGGCTTCTTGTAATTTTAATCCAAATCCTAGAAGAAAGCAAGAATTAACATAGGATTTGAAAAAAAGTTAAAAGATAGATTTGGGAAGAATAAAAGGTAGACTGAAAACTAGGAGATCAAAGAACCTTGACAGATATGATAAAATCACTTTGTACTGTAAATCTCTGTTTTATGTGGTGGTACCTCCCACCACTTTGTAAAATCATTTTGGGCAAGGACATTATCTTCACCTTTGTACTCCTAGAGGCCAGCATATTGCCTGGCATAATTTGGACACTCAGTAAATGTTACATAAAGGAAAAATAATGTTGGTGGAAATTGGAATTTTAGAAACTGTACATATTAGTTCAAAACCTCAATACTGAATCTATAGGGGAAGATCTACCGTGTGTAAATGTCTGTATTCAGGGCTCTGAGCACTGGCTTGTTGGCGTGGATACTATGGAGATTCCGGATATGGCATTCAAACTGTACAATGTGTAACTGGAAAGGAGAAATAGAGAGAGAAATAAACATGGGAAATTAAAGTAACCTCAGCTCTCATTTAAAACAAATACAAATATATTTAAGCATATAATAGCTTCTCAGCATGTTTTAAAAAAACAAATATTAAGAGATCATTTTAGCTCTCAGAATAAACATTGAAAGATGAATCATGATAATTATAGTCATCAACATTGACAATACCATTATTTATTGAATATCAGATGCTTTATAATCATTGTTGCTAAAATATACAACATCTTCTGTAAGGGGAAGTATTATTATTTTTATTTTACAGATAAGGAAATTAAAAGTCAGAGATTTAAGCATCTTGTGAAAAATATCACATGCAATAAATAGGTCTGAAATGTGATAGAACTACAGAGCTAACAACAATTAGCAAAAACCAAGTTAATATTATCTCTATTTCTCCATGAGAAAAATGAGATACAGAATCATGCAGTTTATAAGTGGCTAGGATATGAGGTCTGCCTAATTTGCAAATACTTGCCAATAAAGTCTAATGTGTAACCCTTTCTGTGTTACCAGATTGAAAGATACTAATTTAAATATACAGGCTCATAGTTGTAAATATTTATGAAAAAATCCTAGGAAAAGTGTGTCAGAGGAACTGATAGTACTTTCATACAAGGAAAAATAAAGGTTGTATAATGTAACGTGAAAGATGTTGGCTTTCCTGAACCTGCTATGGTAATAGCTGAAATTAATTTCTCAAAACTGCAAAATTTGGTAGAGCTTTTTGGAGGTTAAGAATGTCCCTATGAGAACAAGAGGAAATTAAAAAATATAAGAAAGATAATCAAGGGTAGAGAATCCCTTCTCACCTTTCCAGATGTCACAAAGTGGTGGTTCATGTTTAAAAAATGATATAAAGAAAATTCCCCAGGGAAGGAAGCAAGCCAACAGATTTAAAGAGCAAAATAGCTGCAGAAATGTTTAAAGGAGTACACAGACAGAAAACCATGGTGAAGACTTGGAAGTAGAAATCTATACAGAAATAACAGGTCTGTAAAGATAGTCAGAGTGATGAGAGAAGAGAGGATGCCAGACAAAAGTAAAAGCACTTCCCACAGACACCTGAGGTTCCACAAGGAAATTAGACAGAATAAAAAGCAAAAAAGGCGCAGGTTAAGTTGGCACTGAAGAAAAACAATGGCAACACTTGTGTTGTCTGAATAATGAAAGTGATATTTATAAAATAACTTGAGAAACAAGAAAGGAGAAGGAATCTGAGCTGATGCAGGGTGCCAACAAAAGAATAAGGAAGTGATTTATTGGAAACGATCACAGCTCTAGTAGTTAGGAACTCAAAGAAGAAAGTGCTTTAATGACATATTGCAGTCAAATTAAGCACATTCTTAGATATTAATTATGAAAATATTTGAAAATACTCATTACAATGGAATCTCTAGTTGGTTATTTTTTAAGAATTGAAAGATGTGTTTTAAAAGTTGGAAATCTATGAAAGTAGACATTGATTTCAAGATTTGTTGAAGCGGAGCATAGAAGACATGTGATAGGTGTTGTGGCAGGAGGGAAAAAATCTGTTGGCTTAGGAAGGCTAAAGAGACAGCATGCTGAAGTAGGAAAGTGGGAAGAACATTAATTTTATTTCAATGAAGCAAATGTTTGATCAGAAAAACAACAACACAAACAGTTTCTCTTCAAGACCATCTGTCTGAACATTGTTGAAATATGTGAAGACATTTCCCATCACCACCATCCGCAGCCCATACTCAGTGGTGGGAGAGAGTGTGTGAAGACTGTATACTTCGAGGTGCTGGATAAATAAGACAAAACTGCTTTTCCAGCTTCTCTGTGTGTGTATGATCTGAAAACTCTTTCTAAGAAGTTATTTTTTTATTATTATTATTTTGAGATAGGGTGTTTCTTTGTCACTCAGGCTGGAAGGCAGTGGTGCGACCCCCCAGGCTCAAGCAATCCTCATGCCTCAGCCTGTCGAGAAGCTGGGACTACAGATGCATGCCACAATACCTGGCTTTATTTATTTATTTATTTATTTATTTATTTATTTAGTTAGTTAGTTAGTTAGTTTTGAGATGGAGTCTCTCTCTGTCACCCAGGCTGGAGTGCAGTGGCGCGATCTTGGCTCACTGCAACCTCTGCTCCTGGGTTCAGTGATTCTGCTGCCTCAGGCTCCTGAGTAGCTGGGACTACAGGCATGAGCCACCATGCCTGGCTAATTTTTGTATTTTTAGAAGAAACGGGGTTTCACCATATTGGCCAGGCTGGTCTCAAACTTGTAACCTCAAATAATCCGCCTATCTCAACCTCCCAAAATGCTGGTATTACAGGTGTGAGCCACTGTGCCCTGACTTACTTTTTATTTTATTTTATTTTTTACTTTTTAATTTAAAATTTTTTTAATTAATTAATTTTTAGAGACAGGGTCTTAATATGTTGCCCTGACTATTCTCAACTCCTGTCCTTAAGTGATCCTCCCACCTTGGCCTCCCAAACTGTTGAGATTACCGGTGTGAGCCATCATAAACAGAAATAATTTATTTACTTATTTATTTTATTTTATTTATTTTCTTTTTTAGAGACAAGTTCTTTCTATGTTGCCCAGGCTTCCTTCAAACTCCTGGGCTCAAGCCATCCTCCTGCCTCAGCCTCAGTACCTGGGACCACATGCACATGCCACCATGCCTGGCTAAAGACATTTTATAAGGAGATTCTTAGAAACTTTCAGGGAAGTAAAATACAAAAATGAAAACAGGATGCTAACACTGAGTGTGAAATCAATTTTATTTCATGCAGATGACACCACTCTTTGAATTACAGGAAGAGCACAAGGATGTACATAAATATAACTAATGTTCTCCAGAGACCTGAAGAAGAACAATTAAACAGATCAAAGCAGGAAAATCATAAACATGGGCACCAGATGCAAAAGTGGCACTATGACATGTGGAATTCAGAAACGAGCTCAAGGAGAATTATTGGAGTGCACTTTATAAAGGAGACAATTATGCAAAATAAAATAAAATATGGAAAAGGAAAAGAAAAATAAGTGAAGAAACTAAGGGGAAAGCTGGTATTGGAAAATAACACTAGGCTGACTGTACGGCTTCCAGCGACAGCTTTTGTACCTTATTTCTATACGCTCACCTCACAGGTATGTGGCACTTCTGGCACTGGATTTTTCAGATTCCACTGGAAAAGTAGGAAGGAGTTAAAAGAGGGCTCATATACCTGACTGAGGAAGAACTACACAATTTACTATTGTGTTTCCATGTTTCAAAGTGAACTGTAACAATACACTGCTTTGGGAAATAAACTTCAAATTTTACCAGCTCATGTGAAGGAATGAGGGAGTGGGAGTGCTTTACTGAAGATAAAATATTTTTGAAGTAAGAAAAGGGCAAATTATGAAAAGGATATAGTGAAGTACATGACAGTGCAGAGTATAAAGCCTAAGACTTAAAAAGGAAAACTAGGAAAGGTATCACACTTAGAAATATCAAAGGCGATCTATATGTATAAAATAGAAATTGATGATATTGAGGATGAAGATGTTAAAAAAGGTTTTTAAACATCTAAAGGAAGTAGTGGAACTGGGTCAAGGTAAAGATGTCTTTTTGGAATGAAGCAAACTTCTGGCTAAAACACATATAAAGTTCTACCCAAGAGAAATAGGTACTGAAGAGACCAATAAACACATATTCACTGAATATAAAAGGCTTGGGAGTCAGATGGCTCAGGTTATACAAATTATAGTCATAATAATGGCATATGCTTACATGTATGCATACGCATGCATGTAAATATACATATATATGTTAGCGAACTGCATACATCTTCTTTCACATATTGAATTAGCCCATTTTCATGCTGCTGATAAAGACACACCCGAGCCTGGACAATTTAAAAAAGAAAGAGGTTTAATTGGACTTCCAGTTCCACATGGCTGGGTAGGCCTTACAATCACAGCAGAAGGCAAGGAGGCGCAAGTCACGTGTTACGTGGATGGTGGCAGGCAAAAAGAGAGGGCTGGTGCAAAGAAACTACCGTTTTTAAAACTATCAGATCTCGTGAGACCCAATCACTATCATGAGAACAGCACAGGAAAGACCCACCCCTATAATTCAATCATCTCCCACCAGGTCCCTCCCAGAATGCATGGGAATTATGGGAGCTACAAGACGAGATTTGGGTGGGGACACAGGCCAAACCATATCACATGTGTTGCTTGGTGTTTACACTAATCCTTCAGACTGGAAAGATAGTTAGTTTAATTTTCATTTTGCAGATGAAAACACTGAGTTTCCAAGAAATGTATCAACATTTCTAAGAAACAAAATAGCTATAATCCTCCACCTCACCA
This sequence comes from Homo sapiens, assembly GCF_000001405.40. Lineage (NCBI taxonomy): Eukaryota > Metazoa > Chordata > Mammalia > Primates > Hominidae > Homo > Homo sapiens. Next base: position 84,876,090 of record NC_000003.12, on the reverse strand, counting down.
GCTTTGCCTAGTGCAGACTTAGCCTACCTATTCCCCAGGGAAAAGTAAATCTGGGAGTGTATTAACCCAGTAATCACACCTGAGTGATACTCTGGGGTTGTGTGTGCCCACAAAGCTGCAGCTCTTTCCTCTAACCTTTCCTAGATTGATGAGTCTTTATTTAGGCCTCAATCCCAGCTGTAATTTTCTCTCCAGTTCTGTGATGAGCCTAGATCCTGCTTAGCTGGGTGTCTGCTCACTTATCTAGGCATGGATGGCTTCTTATTTTTTGAGGGCTGGATCTTGTGCCTGTCTACAAACTCTTGTTTGAGGTTCTCTTTAACGCACACAGAGTGCTTAGAACAAAAACAGTGGAACACAACAGACAAGGAATACTGCTGCTCACCCAGTACTCTGCATATTTTCATAGGGCCTACATTTGCCATGCCCTCTTGAACATAGCACATACATTTCGGGTTGTTGTCCTTGAGAGAAAGACAGTTAATTCCCTTCCCCATAAATAGCCCATGAGTACAGTTTATTCTGTGCCTTGGTAAATAAATGTCATTTATACTACAAATATGAGACAGAGACAATTGTAGCAGCAGTGGAGGGAAGAAATGGACAAGCAACCATAGTAGAAGAACATGACTTGGGCACTTCATTGAGAGAGAAAGGTATAGAAAGAAAGTGACATGGTGGGAGCAAAGAATCCACAATAAAGCAGAAATGCTAAAACAATGCTACTCAAAGTGAGGTTAGTGGGACCATGCTTGTCTGCTGTTTGTTACAGGTTCATCAACTAGATAAGAAATTGAGAGTAAGTATTTAGAAATCAGTCAATCAAACTTAGATCGATTAAGTAAATGAGAAAAAGTAAACTCATTTGTTACATTTAAAACTTGAAAATCTAGGCAATACCATTCAGGACATAGACATGGGCAAAGATTTCATGAGGAAAATGCCAAAAGCAATTGCAACAAAAGTAGAAATTGACAAATGGGATCTAATTAAACTAAAGAGCTTCTGCACAGCAAAAAAAGCTATCATCAGCGTGAACAGAGGGCCTATGGAATGGGAGGAAATGTTTGAAATCTATCCATCTGACAAAGGTCTAATATCCAGAGTCTACAAGGAACTTAAACAAATTTACAAGAAAAAAAAACCAAACAACCCCATTAAAAAGTGGGCAAAGGACATGAAGAGACACTTCTCAAAAGAAGATATGCATGTGACCAACGAACACATGAAAAAAGGTCAACATCACTGATCATTAGAGAAATGCAAATCAAAACCACAATGTGATACTGTCTCATGCCAGTCAGAAAGGCGATTACTAAAAAGTCCAGAAACAACAGATGCTGGCAAGGTTGCGGAGAAAAAGGAATGCGTTTACACTGTTGGTAGGAGTGTAAGTTCGTTCAACCATTGTGGAAGACAGTGTGGCAATTCCTTAAAGATGTAGAAGCAGAAATACCATTTGACCCAGCAATCCCATAACTGGGTATATACCCAAAGGAATAGAAACTGTTCTATTATACACATAAATGCACATGCAGCTCTATTCACAATAGCAAAGACATGGAATCAACCCAAATGCCCATCAATGATAGACTAGATAAAGAAAATGTGGTACATATACACCATGGAATACTATGCAGTGATAAAAAGGAACTAGATCATGTCCTTTGCAGGGACATGGTTGGAGCTGGAAGCCATTATCCTCAGCAAAATAACACAGGAATGGAAAACCAAACACCACATGTTCTCACTTATAAGTGGAAACTGAAACATGAGAACATTATGGACATATGGGGGCGAACAACACACACCGGACTGTTGGGCATGTGGGTGATGGGAGAGCATCAAGAAGAATAGCTAATGGATGCTGGGCTAAATACCTAGGTGATGGGATGATCTGTGCAGCAAACCACCAAGGCACACGTTTACCTATGTAACAAAACCTGCACATTCTGCAATTGTACCCCTGAACCTAAAATAGAAGTTGAAGAAAAAAAGAAATTATATATGAATCTATAGGTGCTTGTTCAAAATGTGAACAATATGCAGACTTGTAACTCTTGGTTTAGTAAAAATAGGAATCACATTATGAGTATAATAATGATTATTTCAATGAACAAAGTTTACAAACTTTATAATTGTTTTCTTTTTCCTAATGTTTCATATGATATTTACGGGGATGAATTTTGTGGTTTTAAATGCAATAGAAAAAGTTTGGGTTTGTATTTGGTATGTCTTTTTTAATATTCCTTTTTCTTTTTCTTTTTTTTTTTTTTTTTTTGAGACGGAGTTTCGCTCTTGTCGCCCAGGCTGGAGTGCATTGGCACGATCTCTGCTCACCACACCCTCCAGCTCCCGGGTTCAAGCAATTCTCCTGCCTCAGCCTCCCAAGTAGCTCAGATTACAGGCATGTGCCACCACACCTGGCTAATTTTGTATTTTTAGTAGAGACGAGGTTTATCCAGGTTGGTCAAGCTGGTCTCGAACTCCCGACCTCAAGTGATCTGCCTGCCTTGGCTTCCCAAAGTGCTGGGATTACAGGCGTGAGCCACTGCGCCCAGCCTAATACTCCTTTTTCTAATGATTAATTCTTATTATATTTTATGGAATTATTGATCTGCAATTGAATATAAATCTATAAATAAAACAAACTTGTTCTTTACCACTGTATTGGGAGGCACTGAATTAGAATACAGATCTTGTAGGAGGAGGATTAATAAGAGAAGTAACTTACATTGTAAAAAGAAAATAAGTCAGCTGGACACAGTGGTGTGAGTCTGTAATGCCAGCTACTTGGAAGGCTGGGACAGGAGGATCATTTGAGCACAGGAGTTCTAGGCAAGCCTGGGCAACATAGTGAGACCCTGTCTCTAATAAATGAACAAACAAACAGATGATAGATAGATAGATAGATAGGTCAGTAATAAGAAAAATGATGAAACTGGAGGGTATGAAATTTACAGCAGTAGATAATTTTTAACCTGTTTATAGAAGTATAATATACATATAATGTTCAAAATATTTTTATGAGATGACAATGAGATATTTTATAGCAGGTCCAACTTATAGTAGGCATCTATTTTCTATATCACACCATTGCTGACGTTATGGCAAACATCACAAGAAATGTGGAACAATGAGATCATCTGTGTTTTTAGAAGTGAATAAAAGGAAGGGGCTATCATACACAGATCAGAGGGTTTAAAACCTATGCATTTATTTTTCATTTAGTTATTTCATCACTCTTTTATTAATTCATGAATTCATTCAACAAATAATTTATATATTTAGTAATATTATATCTACTTATAAAAATTATCCATCACATTTATAGGTTTAGATGAAATAAAGAAAAACCCAAAAAAGAATCAAATTTCCAATACCTCAGAGACAAATTGTGTTAATGTTTTTGTGAACCTTATTGCAGTTTTCTACACACAAACACACACACACACAAATATTGGTATATTATAATTTAAGAGCCTTTGCCAATTTATAGATCATGAACAATTTCCTGGTCATTCAATCATCCTCTATAATGCCATTTTAGTGGCTGCATATTTTTTTCAAAGGATATGTGTGTGTTGTCTGGCATATGCATAAGTAATCTGATCATTTTTTTCTTTGTTGGGTATTTACATCACTGACAATATATCATTATTTTGAAAATGCTGCACTAAGTATACTTGAGGTGAATATGAACATATCTGCAAATATTTCTTCAAATTAATTTCTGGAAGTCTAGATTAGTATTTTGCACAGTTAGGGGGTTTCTAGTATGTATTTCTATTTCTAATGCTAAATTGTGCTTGAGAAAAAAGTTTGAAACATTTTTTTCCTGCTTAGCTGTTATAAATGAGTGTCCATTTCTTCATACACTTGTGAACAATGGGCACTATTACATTGATTTATACAAGAACAAAACAAAGACCAAAATTCAAGGAGAATGCGTGTGCATACTTTTCAATCATATTCTCACTGGCACTTTTCTCTCTCTCTCGGCATATTAGCTGCTATGTTCCGGGTACTGGGCTCTGGTCTTTTGGTGACTCCTGGCCACTAGACTTTTCTGCAGTTGTCCTGGGGATTGAACAGAAGGTATTTCTGGGAAGAAAACGCTGGGGTTGAGGATGAGAGTGCAAGATCCTGCAGGTAGAGATGACCTAGGAGAAAGGCTGGTGGAAAAGTCTGAGGAGGTGACAAGTTTGGAAGATCACCGGCAGAGGTCAGAAACTGAGAGTTTGTAGTTGCTAGAAAGCCTTCTGTAGAAAAAGGAATTAGATGAGGAATAAGCACTTGCAGAGAAGTGGTCCTGAAGGCAGCAATACTGAAAACAGGTTTCCTAGCAGAACTCCTTGAACTTGGAGGTAACTAGGGCAAGAAAACAAGTTCTGCATCTACTTGTGTATTGTTATTTATAACATGGAGCAGTGCTCGGAATTTTACCAAGAGAAAATCTACTGTGGCCAACATGTACCTTATTTTCCAGTATAAATGAACAGAAATGGTGTGGGGATATTAATCAATCACATATTAATGCAAATAAATGTGTGCCTGTTGCTTTTTTCCCCCTAAGAGACATAAAATAATTTAGTCTTAAAAAAGAGAAATTGTAATTTGGTCTGGGTTTACAATTCTTTGGAAGGTGGATTACATTGGATTATCAGAGTTCCTCTTTCTCGGTCCCAAAGTAGAGACCTGAGGAAATATATTGGACATAGGGGAAGGAAAACACGCACACACACACAAACACACTTCCATTTTCTAACCACTTTCTTTGCCAGTAGCTGTAGTTGTTTTGAGAAATAATTTCTTAAAGTGAGTATCTTTCTAAAACGGGTTAAAAATGAAGGAATGATGCTGGAGGGGAATGACAAAGATGAATAATTATTTGAGAGGGGGGGCTTTTGGCATTGTAAGTAGACACATGCAATGCAGGGAAGGTAAAATTTTCAATGTCCTTTTGGAAAGAAAATTTTTCATTTTATGATGTTTCCTTCACTGTGATCCTTATCCTTCCCTAAAGGCTAAACCTATAAATAGATTCACAGGATGGTAGTTTCTGCACCAGCATCAAACTAAGTTTGGGTTCTTTGTAATCATTTCAGAACCATTGGTTATGATCCTCTCTATGTGTATGTGCATGTGTATCTGTCTGTGTGCTAGAGAGAGAGAGAAAGCAACAGAAAGAGACAGGGAGATGGAGATGGAAAGAATGAGATTGTTTTGTTTATAAACTTGGAAGCAGTGTGTCTCTGGGCCCTAATTTTTTAGTTGTTTTTTTTTTCTTTGCCATATCACATTATTTAATTGCTTCTTTTTTGTCTGTGATACCTATAATACATGCCAACATATCTATTAACACTTACTCATTTTTAAAGGTGACAAAGTTACTAAATGTGCAAGGCCTCATAGCTTAGATAGCAGCTGGCTTGTACTGCATCCAGCAAATGGACCTACACACCTGTGAGTACTTAATAGACTTCTTTCCCCCTAGATTTAAAAGTCATTCCATACTAAAATATTTGGTATTGGAAACTCATTTTAAGGTGACCACTGAAAATTATGGAATCTATATGCATCACCTTCTGAATAAAATAAGCCAGGATGTTTTATCATTTCTGTTAAAGTGGAAATCCCTAAGAAATAAAAATTTTAAGATTTCTGTCTGTAAAATTGATTCATTGAAATTCTGAGGCTGAGTTTGCATGATTTAATTTCTTTATAGATACACAAATAGATATTTATAATGATCCTCCTCTTTCAGCTTCCCTATTTAAGGGAGAAAAGTTTCCAGACAAGCGTGTAAGCATATTGGTCAATCTGGCTTGATTGCTTTCCTCCAGCAATGGGCAGTTTTAATTTCCTATCACATTTATAGTCATTATGTTTGAGAAAGGGCAAAAGAGGTTAATGAAATCATTATAATTTCATTCAAATGATATATATTTTAAAAGCTCAATTAAAGAAACAGATACCAGGGTACCACATTTTATTTACCTTATGGAGACCATCGCTCTGTAGCACCTGTAAAGATACTGAAGAAACACATTTCCCAATGCTAAAATGAATGTGAAGTCATTACCATCACTGAACATATCTATAAAGTAAGTTTATTATGAAGATAAATGATGTTTAATTGAAAATGCATTGTTTCCTTATTTATTTAATGCATTTTTAATCAAATTCCTGACAGTTTTAAGGTAACATAACAAATTGGTTACTAAGGAATACTGCAATTTGACTGAAATATTACAAGTTACTTGGTTTTGAACAAACTAATAAACCTCTTTAATCAGTGCTTTCTTCATCTGTAAAGTGAACATAATGATATTACTAGCCCCAACATGATGGGGCAAATGACATAAGTAACATAAAATCACACTGACTGACATCTATAATAAGACGTTAATACATTTTCTCTATTATCATTATTACTATTGTTACTACTATTATTATGTCATATCCTTTAGAAATATGGAACATTCTGGGAGGCCGAGGTGGGCGGATCACGAGGTCAGGAGATTGAGACCATCCTGGCTAACACGGTGAAACCCCGTCTCTACTAAAAATACAAAAAAATTAGCCGGGCGTGGCGGCGGGCGCCTGTAGTCCCAGCTACTTGGGAGGCTGAGGCAGGAGAATGGTGCGAACCCGGGAGGCAGATTTTGCAGAGAGCCGAGATCGTGCCACTGCACTCCAGCCTGGGCGACAGAGCAAGACTCCGTCTCAAAACAAAAAACAAACAAACAAATATGGAGCATTCTGATATGAATAAGACACTTGCTCACTTCTCAATTCCTTGGTGTCCAGGTGGGAAAGCAGATAAGATTATGTTAACATTGTACCAATCTGATCTGGTCTAAACATTTTATCTATATTAACTCATTTATACTGTCAATAATTATGTTAGGTAGGTTTCATGAGTATTCCTGTTGTACAAATGAGGAAATAGTGGCTTCATAGGATAAACGGTTGCTCATAGTTACATGGCTAGCTAGAGTTTTGCTGGGATGTGACTCCAGGCAGTTTTGTTCCAGAGTCATTATTTTTTTCTTTTCTACAGCTCTACAAGTGTATATAGACTTCCAAAGAATATTTAAATCCTTTAACAAAAATGCCACCTAAGAAAATATGAAATACTTCAGTCTGTCTGTCAGTGCTCACTTCCTGTCTAGAAACTTTCAGGTGAGGAACACAATTCTGGAAATGGTTGTCCTCAACCATGTTCAATTCTTTTCCCCCAGTAATAATTCAGGCATGAGGACACCTTCCTGTGTGTGCAAAACCTCTCATATTTTTCAGTGTGGTAAGCAATTTCTTCACCTTGAACAATCATTCTGGTATTCTTTTCCCAGGAGAAGCAAAATTATTGACAGCATTCAGCTATCATCTTTTCACAAAACACTATTTCTCTTTTAGGCTCCGGCACAAATGAACCATGTTCTTCGCCTAAGTCATTTATGGAACATCTGCTTTCGGTTTAGCATCAGGTAAGATAATAAGAGAAATTCAGTGCTACTATCACTGCTTTCAGGAAGCTTACAACCTTTTAAACAAATATGCAACCATAGCGTATGGCCCTTTTATGGAATTTTGGAAGATGACTAATGTCTGTATACAAAAATGTACATATATATGTACATGTATGTACATACACACAATTGTAATATTTGGTTATACATATAGTAAAGAATGCTACCTTTTTTAAAATTGTTTTCTGCCTTCCAGTCAATGATAAGAATCCAGACATATTCATTTAAATAGGGGGAGAGGGACACTTATAATTCTTATTTCATCTTTACAGATACAATGTATTTCTTTGGAATTGACAGGGGAAACAAAGCAAAGAAGAATGACACTGAAGAATCAAAAAAAAAAATGAGCATAAGACCCATGAAGATTACAGACACATACACTCCTAAAATTAAACATTAAGCGGAATAAAAATAATCCCAGATTATATGGTCTGACATGCCAGAAGAAATAAAAACCTAAGGAATTAGTTAAAATCTGTGCAAAAAAAAAAAAAAAAAAAAAAAAAAAAAAACACTATGACTAGAAAAAGCACTATTACTAGTAAAAATAATGATAATGAATTCTGGTGTCTAAAATATTGAACTAAATAGTTAACAATAGCATATACATTAAGAGAGAGTGATTGGGATTTACAGGTTCTTAATCCTGCTAATGTCAGGAATAAGGTAGAGATAATGTTAGCAGAGATTTTGATAAATATGTATATTAAAATCTGTAGGGTAATCACTGAAACCAAAATGGTGGATATAATTTATCAAATAATAGCAAACAAATCAAGTGAAAAATTACCAAATTAAGGCTGGGCACGGTGGCTTACACCTGTAATCCCAACAATTTGGGAGGCTGAGGTGGGTGGATCACCTGAGGTCAGGAGTTTGGGACCCAGCCTGGCCAACATGGTGAAACACCATCTCTACTAAAAATACAAAAATTAGCCAGGGGTGGTGGTTGGTGCCTGTAATCCCATCTACTCAGGCAACTGAGGCAGGAGAATCACTTGAACCCAGGAGGCAGAGGTTGCAGTGAGCCAAGATGGCGCCTCTGCACTCCAGCCTGGGAGACAAGAGTGAAACTCTATCTCAAAAAAAAAAAAAATTAATTAATTAATTCATAAAAGGCTAGAGAGCATGAAAAACAAAAGAGAAAAAAATAGCATTCAGCTATCAGAAGTCTGGGTCTAAAGGAAATAAATCTGTTAAATCCAGTAGTCAGACTCCTTAAACTTTGGCCTGCCTCTCCCAGATGAGATTATACCAAAACCAACCTAATTATTACTAAATTATTTGATCAATTTGGAATTGAAAGGATGAGGAAGAAAACACAACTAAAAGGAATTGTACACCCAACATTATACACTAAGTCAATTCCAGTTTGGGATAAAGAAAAATCTAAAAAATGAAAGTATACAACTTTTAGAAGTCATTTCATGGGGATATATTTATAATTTAAAGACAGCAAAAAAAAAAAAAAAAACATTGACACAAAACAAACAAAAAAGAAAACCTCTACTATATGAGTATATAAATTAAAAGTTATTGTTTATCAAGGACCATAAAAAACAAAAACAAGAATCTCAAATTGTGAGAAATTATTTTCAGTGCATAAAAATGACAAGTGAATATTATTCAGCATGTATAACAAAAGCTTCACAACTACTAAAGGAAAGAAAAAATTATAAAACACAAAGACTCAAACTGCAGTTAACAGAAGGGGAAATTTGAATTTTTATCAAAAAACTAAAAATTACACTCAAATGTAATAGCAATATGAAAATACAAATTAAAATCATAATGTGGCACCATTTTACATGTAACCACATTGTTATAAAAATTCATAGCCTTCAAATATCAAATAGTGGTGATGTGAAATGACAGATCTTTCATATATTGCTCACAGGAGGGACTCCAAATAAGTACAAACACTTTGGAAAATTACTGATATTACCTTTAAAAGTTAATAACATATAGGCACAAGGACTAGAAATTCTAATCTTCAATCTTTATCTGGAAGAACCTCATGTATATGTATTCCAAGACATACGTATTTTCATAGAAGTATGTATCAGCCCATTCTTACACTGTTATAAAAAGAAATATCTCAGTATGGGTAATTTATAAAGAGGTTTCATTGGCTCACAGTTCCACACGCTGTACAGAAAGCATGATGCTGGCATCTGCTCAGCTTTTTGGGGGGCCTCAGGAAACACAATCATGGTGGAAGGTGAAGAAACGAGAGGCAAACACGTTTTATATGGCTGGGGCAGGAACAAGGAGGGGGGAAGGTGCTACACATTTTTAAACAACCAGATCTCGTGAGAGCTCATTCACTATCATGAGAACAGCACAAAGGGGGAAATCCTCTCCCATTATCCAGTCATCTCCCACCAGGTCCCACCTCCAACCCTGGGGATTCCAATTTGACATAAGATTTGGGCAGAGGCACAAATCCAAACCATATCAGAGTACTTTTTGCAATAGCAAAAAAATCCAAGAAAAATCTTAAATGTCCATCAGCAGTAGAATAAACAAATAAATTGTGTTACAACCATACGATATAATACTCTATAGCAATATAGATGAAGACCTCAGCTACTTGTAATAACATTGAGGAGAGAACCTAAAGTTTAAGAACCTTAAGTGGAGCTAAAAAAGCAAATTTCAGGTAAATATATACAATTTATTTTGTTTTAATAAATATTAAAGCATGGGAAATAAATGATTAGTTGTTTAAAAACTTAAAATGAATAATAACATTTTTCTAAAGCAAATAAAAAATACATCCAAAATTTAAAATAGATGTTACCCATGAAGGGGAAAATGAAGACATAAGAGGAGGAGGATGAGAAGAAAGATGTTAAAAGCCATGAGACCGATCTTTCTCGTAAACCAAGTAGTTTACATGTAGAAGTTTATTAGTATTCTTTGTACTTTGTACCTCATTTTTTAATAAATATGGCTTAAATAATACAAATTCACTTTAAAAATGACTGTTTTCATGTGACTAAAAAAAGAATATAAAAAATGCCCTAAATGAAAAAGAAAATCTTTATATTTCAAGATTTAATATATTTTAATGTAAAACATTATAAAATATAATTAAATTTATATATTTAATTTATACAGATTGTCAGTTCAACTACATTGATTGCCAAAATGCTACATATCTATGAGAATGTATATATTTATTTGAAAGTTAATTTATGCAAGTTCTGATAATGCATTTTTTATTACATCTGTGTGCAAAAAGGAACTGCTACCCTCTTTAGATTTTAGCTTAAGAAATAAACATTTTAGATAATGCCTAGCTTGAATCTGATTAACATGGTTTTCAAAGACGTTCTGCCTCATTCCATGTCAACATTTCTAATACAGAAATTCTCATAATTTGTATACAATTTAATATAATGCCCACTCTCAGAATTCTGAAATATCCAAGGCCAGAGCAATAATTTAAATTACTACTGCTATAGCAACTGATTCGCTTTCTGACTGAACCCCAGAGCTGGGTGAAATCCCACTTGTAGACTTCATTTTCTCTAGTATTTCTCTACAAATGAATTAGTCTCAGTTTGAAATTTCTGTCTTTCTCTCTGGTTATAACTCCATGAGGATAGGCTCTTTGTTGTTCTATTCACCCAGGGTCTAGCACAGTGTCTGATAAGTAGTAGATATTTGAGAACTGTTTATTAAATGAAGAAATAGATCATTGATCACAAGTTAGTGTACAGAAAAAAGGCAAAGATAAAGGACAACATTTCAAAAGTCAAATAAAGCACTAATTATTTCTACTATTTAATGCTTAGGTGCCCACATGCTTTCAATAAGACTCATATATTTTGATTAAATTGAATTTTATTTTTTATTTGATAGTATATTTACATGAGTCAAATCTCAGTAAAAAATATATATTTAGAAAACTTGATTGTGCCCATTTCCTTCTCTACCAAATTTCTCCCCTTCTATTCCCTAAAATGATTTCTTTCCTAATGCATAAGAGAGTCTTCCAGTGTTTCATGAAACCAATATGAAAATATACTTATTACCTCCCTTTAGATACATAAAATTAGATATTCTATTTATACTCTTCCACTCCTTGCTTTCATCTCTTAAAAATATACCCTGGACATGGTGTGCACCTATAGTCCCAATTGCTGGGGGACTGGGGCAGGAGGATAGCTTGAGCCCAGGAGTTCAAGGCTATAGTGTGCCTGTGAATGGTCACTATACCTCAACCTGGACAATATGCTCTGGAGATTGCTCCATATTGGCACAGTGAAAGCTACCTTAATCATTTTTATAAATACATATCATTCCATTGTGTGAATTTACAGTATCTAATTGAATTCATCCCCTTGTGTTTTTTCCATTGTTATACTCTAAACAATGCTCTGGTGATGTGCAACCTTGTCCACACATCATTTTTGACGTGTGCAGGCATGTCTAGATGATAAGCTCCCAGAGGTGGAATTGCTGAGCCAAAGGGTATATGCATTAGTAATTTGAATGATACCACTCCACAGCAATTTTACTATTTTGTGTTTCCACAGTGTGCTATTAATCCAGGTCTTCCAAGAAACAAATGCCAAGATGGTATTAAACATGAAATGATTTTAATTGTTTACATGCCTGAAAGTAAATAAAGAGGGTGCCAGCTAAGGCTGAAAAAGTCTTCAGTGATATAAATTTTACCACACTTAAAGAGAGAGAGGAAAAGTTTAAGTGGAAGCTCCTACTCAGCCATGCTGTCTAAGGAAGATTTGGCAAAACCTTGAGCTAAAGTCAGCCAACGGAAATCCCACCTTTCTCCAAAGAATGGATCTGCTTTACTATCTTGCTTGGTCTTATTGGTAGGAAGCAGCCAGGGGAACTCAAAGAGCAGCAGCAATATAATGCGGCTGGGTTCTTCCTAGTTGGAAGTTTGCTCTGTGTGTAAGACAAAGGCAAATATAAAATCAAAGGCCTAATTCTTCCTGTTGAAAATGGGAGAAGAGGTTTCCCTCCTCTACTTTTTCTTTTACAACATTATCTTCTTAGATTGCTTTTAATTATAAATATTTTCCAATTTATTTGAAATGTATACAAATATTTTCAAAGACTATATTGACTTTTTTTTCAGCTTTGTGACCTAGTAATATCTTTCTCGAGTGCATGAAACATCTCAGAAATGCAAACATCAAGGAAGATACTAATCCTTTCTTCCAGTTTCTGTGTGAGGGTTGGAGGCTGACTTTGGTGGTGATCTTGCTCCAAATTATAGAACTACATCCTGTCATGAAGAGAAGTTTGTCTTCTCGATAAAGCCAAGTAGCTAACAGAGATGGTCACCCCAATTACCAGGTAAAGTTAGTATGAATAATGTGTGACAAATGGTGTTGTCAAGTCCTCTTACTTGAAGACTAGTTATTGTTTATCTGGAAAACATGTCTGTAATTGGTTGTATCTTCTTGGATCTTTAAGAGGGTGAAATTTGTTTCTGTCTTTGCAATCACTTAGTGGACTGCCTGTGATGCACATCACATTCTGTTTTAATGCATTCTCAATAGCAAAAGCGTTTTCTTTGTCTACTACCTTTGTGGAGTAGATTTCTGGGTTGAGAGATTTGACTTTCAATTATATTTCCTCAATAGATAACACAGGCAGGTATTGGTGTCAATTTACCTACAGAATCATGAAAGCGCGTTGTCAAACTTTTCACTTAACTTTTCTAAGTGCTCAGTTTTCCTTCCATTAGATGGACATAATTATACTTGAATGCTGACCTACAACATTTTGTGCTGTGCAGAGGCTTTGAAAATCAAACAACTTTGAAAATACAAAGCACCGCGTGGATGTAAGTTTATTAAATTTTGTTTTCATCAACATTCAATTGAGGGTATCACTTCAGAAACATTATAAGATTTATTATTATCAATGCTTAGAATAGCATGAATATACTGGAGAGATTTATATATGATAAGTTTAGCACACTATGTTTACAACATACCCAAAAAAAGCACACTTGTTAGCACTTCAATTTAACATGAATGGAATTTGCATGAATAGATCGGGGGAAGCATTGAGTCCCTAGTAGCAGAGAAATACCAGGAAAAATACTAGTGATTTTGAGCAGCAAAAGGGCTTTGCCTGAATTAATAAATAAGCTATCTGGTGATGGTAATTATAGCATTGCTCTCTACCTTTGTATGACACAAATATATCTGGGAAGAGCAAATAGACATGAGTTGGGGAAACAGACTATTAATATAAAGTATCATGTAACAGATCTTAGTTGAAGCATTGCATTCACTTTAAATAGGGCAAGTAGAAAATTATGAATTTTATAACTCTAAAACCTTTTACTTTGCCCATTTGCCAAGTCCCAGTTTTCACATAAAACATTTTTCTTCTTGTTGAATTTACTTTCTTCACTTTGTTACGCTTAAACCAGCTTTGATGAAAACTATTTCCTATGATGTGACATAGGAGCTCTAGCAGAAGCTTGTTCACTTGTATGTAATATGAGCATTGCGCCGAGCAAACACCATTTAGATACTACCATTATTATAAGGCTCATTTAGATACTACCACTATTAGGCTCAGCAATCAAACAAACATTTACCTAGAGTAGAGGCACTAAAATGCATATTCACAATGGAAAATTCTCCATTCGAATTAACGCACACCTTAAAGACCAAACCTGGCACTGCATTCTATATATCTAGACTGAGATATGTGCCATTATCTTTATGCCTTTCCTGTTGTGTGTTTCCCTAGGGGCACATTTACCTGTTCTGCATTCTATCTTTGTTACTTTTTTTGACCTTTTCTTGCTTTCATTTTGCTTCTTTTGACTTACAAATCCCTTTCAATCTATAGTAAATGCAATGGATAAATAGCACAATTTTAACTTCTCACCCCTTTATTTTAAATACACCCTTTCTGCAAACTGTGGTAGTATTTATAGCAACACACCAATATTCTACTTTTCTAGGAGATGGCAGTCAATACTTTTGAAATTTTTAATCTTTTCCCATTCTACACAAAGGAAAACTACTTTGTTTTCCATTGAGTAGGAAAAATTCAAATGATAAGCATGTATATACAAACTTCTAAGACACTGAAATCTCATTTACTGTTAAAAATGGGGGTGTGGTGTTAATCATTTGTATTAATCGAGACTATTGAAACATTTTAACTATTATATGTGTAAAGGTTTCTTTGATTTCTAAAGAAATGCATTTCTAAAAGTCTTATGCTGTAAGGATGCTGGATGCGTAGTTTGACCAATTATGGCTCTTGATGTCGACTGAAGTGGTCACTTGATTCCTATTAGCGTAAGTATCTGTCTGTAAAGACACTTTGTAAAGGAAAGCCTTAATTTGAAAACAACAACACAATAATGATGAATATCTGTCTAATATAGAAATCTGCACATCAGAAAAAAAAAGCTATATATGTATCTGTTGATTTAGGAGGATCTTATAAAATGAACCACTTAATTCCAATTGTATTCCAATTCCTTCTTCCCTAAGAGAATGTTGAAAACATGACACTTACTGGTAAGTGACAGGTCTCCTCTCTGTCTTGGTTTAGATTCTATGCTTTTCATACAAGAGCTGAAGCATTCCTCATCTGGAGAAACAGGATCTCTTGTGATGAGGCTTTTTTGTATCACAGATCATATTTCACACTTCTTGTTTGTCAAATCTTTTTCACAGTTTATAATGCTCAAGCTTTATATTTTTAAAAATATTATGAGCACTTCTTACTTGACTTTTTTTTCAGTTGGAAAGACATTTTAATCTTTCCTTTTTTTTTTTTTTTTTTTTTTTGAGACGAAGTCTCGCTCTGTCACCCAGGCTGGAATGAAGTGGTGCAATCTCAGCTCACTGCAGCCTCCGCATCCTGGGCTCAAGTGATTCTCCCGCCTCAGCCTCCCGAGTAGCTGGGACTACAGGCATGCGCCACCAGGCTGAGCTAATTTTTGTATTTTTAGTAGAGACGGGGTTTCACCATGTTGGCCAGGATGGTCTCAATATTTTGACCTTGTGATCCGCCTCTCTCAGGATCCCAAAGTGCTGACATTATAGGCGTCAGCCGCTGCGCACTGCCAGAAAGACATATCTACATACTGCTTCCTCTCTCGTCATGGTGAGCAAACCGCAGGCAGGAAGTCAGAGTTTGACGTTGCTCCTCCTGAGGAGGGGAGAGCTGGAGTTCAGGAAGCCTCTTTATATCTAATGCTGCTTTCTGATTCTGTGCCTTGGTATTAGGAACTTGATTCAGCCCAATATATATTATTTAATAGCAATTCTATTTGGTCTCCATATGACAATGACTTTGCTTTATATCTCAACTAGTTCAGTGTTTGGGTTTAATTATTGTCAGAGGCAATATCATGAGTACACCCTAAAGGTACTGGCTCAATACATTTGCTGCATTCCCATTTAATACAACATGCTCGAAAAGTGCTTACTGCCAGTTACTTAATACAAGTAATATACAATCTAATATTTTACAGTCCAAAAAAATTGTTTAACTCCTCTTAATTTCATTTATGGGGGACCCATTCTGTTTAGATTACTGTGTAAATAATTTGATAATAAGTCAACAAATTTTTAGCTTTGGTTTTGTTTTTATTTTGAGACAGGGCCTCACTCTGTCGCTCAGGCTGGAGTGGCACGATCTTGGCTCACTGCAGTCTCTGCCTCCTCCTCTTGGATGCAAGCAATTCGGCCTCCAAGTAGCTGAGATTACAGGTGCGTGCCACCACACTCTGCTAATTTCTGCATTTTTAGTAGAGATGGGGTTTCACCATGTTGGCCAGACTGGTCTCCAACTCCTGGCCTCAAGTGATCCACTTGCCTCAGCCACCCAAAGTTCTGGATTACAGGCGTGAGCCATTGCGCCTGGCCTAGTAAACATATTTTTTTTAAATAAAAATGTTATTTTATCATTTACATAAGATCAAAAACATGTCTATTGGATTCCACCGCCCAGATCCTTACACTGTACATTCTATTTTGCCTCAAATTTGACTCTCTTCACTTGCTTTTAAGCTCTGGATGAGTTTGATTCCAACTAGTTCAAAAGAAAAATGGAGCATCCCAAAAGAACATAAAACTAATAAAAATCAACTTGTTTATGAATCTAAAATGATAAAAAGCAATACATTTAAAATAAAGGTTACTTTTAAAACATGATTTCATGTCTCAATTTTTCCAACTACTTGGAGATTCTTCTAGTATTAGCATGCCATTATTATTAGGCTTGACTGCCTACTGTGAACCACTGTGAAGCCCACAGAAGAATCTCACTACAGGCAAATGCAAATGCTGAGATTTTAATGACTGTTAAGTAAATTTGAACTTAAAAATAAACAACAGGCTTAACAGAGGCTTAATTATTGTCAGATGCAGTATTAAAAAAAAACAAAACAACAGAATTTATTTACCTACCTGTCATGAAAATATATTTCTTCTGGGAGGAAAATCTTATTTGTATTTTAAAATATGAGACCTGCCTGGCAAGCAGGTACTTCTCTGTTTAATTATTGATTACTTTCCTTTAGATATAAGATCCGTCTTGTAGATGGGATAAAATTAGACCATCAAACTACAAAAATGTAACATTCAGATATACTCCTCTTTGTCATACACATTCATGTGTCCAGCTTCTTCTGACACTTAATTTAAAATATTGGTTGATTTAGAACCTTATTTTTGTCTTTATTCTATTTGCTTTTGTTTTTTACTTATTCCTAATCTTGTTAGCTTGCTTTTTTAGAACTGAAGCTGCTGGATTTTTACTGATTATAATTTCATATTGATGTGTCTTGAGTACATGTACAAATACATAAACACATGAAAGAGCATAAATACCTTGTTTCACATTACTGTTTGATCGGTCTCTCTATCTATTTATCTATCTATCCATCCGTCTAGCTATGTATATTGTCATGTGTATAAGTGTCTATGTATCTGTCATCTATGTATCTAGACATGTAGATATGTATATAGGTATCTATGTATGTGTGTATAAATGCATCTGTGTATCTATGTCTCTGTCTACTATCTGACTTGCTAGCTG